>NC_000023.11:89129208-89432238 GCF_000001405.40 Homo sapiens
TTGTTTGAGGAACCTCTAAACTGCTCTGCATAGTGCTTGCACTGATTTACCTTCTCACAAGCAGTGTACAGGAGTTCCTTTGTCCTCACATCCTCACCAGCATTTGTTATTGCCTGTCTTTTGGATATAAGCCATTTTAACTGGGGTGAGATGGTATTTTGATGTACATTTCCGGTGATTAATAATGTTGAGCATTTTTTTCATATGCTTGTTTTCCATTTGCATGTCTTCCTTTGAGAAATGACTATTCAGATTTTTTGTCCATTTGTGGATCAGATTACTCGATTTTTTCTCTATAGAGTTATTAAGGTGCCATATATATTATTGTTATTAATCCCTTGTTAGATGGGTAGTTTGTAAATATTTTCTCCCATTCTGTGGGTTGCCTCTTCAATTTGTTGATCATATCCTTTGCTGTGCAGCAGCTTTTTAACTTCATGTGATCCCATTTCTCCATTTTTTGCTTTGGTTGCCCGTGCCTGTGGGATATTGCTCAAGATATCTTTGCCCAGACTGATGTATTGCCAGACTTTTGAGAGTTTCCCCAATGTTTTCTTGCAGTAGTTTTATAGATCGAGGTCTTAGGTTTAAGTCTTTAATCCATTTTGATTTGATTTTTGTATACGAAAAGTGATTGAGGTCTAGTTTTATTCTTATGTGTATGGATACCCAGTTTTCCCAGCACCATTTATTGAAAAGACTGTCTTTTCCTCAGTGTATTTTATTGGCACCTTTGTCGAAAATAGGTTCACTGCATGTGTATGGATTTATTATTATCATTTTTTTGTTTGTTTTTGTTTTTTTTTTTGTTTTTTTGTGAGACGGAGTCTCACTCTGTTGCCAGACTGGAGTGCAGTGGCACTATCTCAGCTCACTGCAACCTCCAACTCCCTGGTTCAAACCATTCTCCCGCCTCAGCCTCCCGAATAGCTGGGATTACAGGCACGCGCCACCACACTCAGCTAATTTTTGTATTTTTAGTAGAGACGGGGTTTCACCATGTTGGCCGGGATGATCTCGTTCTCCTTACCTTGTGATCTGCCCACCTCGGACTCCCAAAGTGCTGGGATTACAGGCATGAGCCACCGTGCCTGCCCACCTATTATCATTTATTTTAGCAACAGTTTCTTTGTTGTCTATTCTCTTCCTTTGGTCTATTTGTCTTATTTTATGCCAGAACCATGCTGTTGTTTTGTTTACTTTAGCTCTGTAGTTTAATATAAACTCAGGTAATGTAATTCCTGTAGTTTATTTTATTTTATGTCATTTTTTGCTTAGAATGGCTTTGGCTATTCTGGGTCTTTCTTGGTTCTATATGAATTTTATAATTTTTTTTTATTTCTGTGAAGAATGTTATTGGTATTTTGATAGGGGTTGCATTGTATCTGTAAATTGTCTTGGGTAGTATGGACATTTCAATGATATTGATTCTTCCAATCTATAAACAAAATATTTTTCCATTTTTTTGGTGTTACCTTCAATTTCTTTCATCAATGTTTTATAGTTTTTATTACAGAGATCTTTCATTTTTCTTTGATTAGGTTAATTTCTAGGTACTTTATTTTATTTGCAGTTATTGTAATTGAGACTAGTTTTTAAATTTAGTTTTTAGTTTTTTTATTGTTGGCATATACTAATGATACTGATATTTTGTATCTTGCAATATAACTGAATTTACTTATGAGTTCTAATAGTTTTCTTGTATAGTCTTTAAGTTTTTCCAAATATAAAATTAAATCATTTGCAATTGAAGATAATTTGACTTCTCATTTTACAATTTGGATGCTTTTATATCTTTCTCTTTTCTGATTGCTCTAGGTAGGACTTCCAGTACTATGTTGAATAACAGTGGTAAAAGTGGGCATTCTTCTTGTGCTCCAGATCTTAGAGAAAAAGTTTTCAGTTTTTTTCTCTGATTCAGTACAATAGTAGATGTGGGTGTGTTATATATGGCTTCTATTATTTTGAGTTATATTCCTTCAATACTCAGTTTTATGAATGTTTTTTATCATTAAGGGAAGTTGAATTTTATCAAATGTTTTTCAGCATTAATTGAAATGATGATATGATTTTTGTCCTTCATTCTGTTGATATGATGTATCACATTTATTGATTTGCATATATTGAACCATCTTTGGATCCCAAGAATAAAACACACTTGATAATGATTAATGAACTTTTTAATGTATTATGGAATTTGGTTTGTTAATATTTTGTATAGAATTTTTGAATCTATTTATTCATATCAAGGATACTGGGCTGTAGTTTTCTCTTTTTGATTTGTCTTTGTATGTTTTTGGTATCGGGGGTAATACTGGTCTCATAGAATCAGTTTGGAAGGACTCCTTCCTCCTATATTTTTTAGAATAGTTTGAGTAGGATTTATGTTAGTTCTTTAAAACCTTTGGTAGAATTTAGAAGTAAAGCCATAGGGTCCTGAGCTTTTATTTACTTTGAGACTTTTTATTATTATTTATTTGATCTCGTTATTGGTCCGTTCAGGTTTTGTATTTCCTTATGGTTCAATCACGATAGGTTGTATTTGTCTAGGAATTTATGTATCTCCTCTAGATTTGGGGATTTATTGACGTATGGTTGCTCATAGTAGTCACTAATGACCCTTTAAATTTCTGCAGTATCAATTGTAATGTTTCCTGTTTCATCTCTAATTTTATTTGTTTGGATCTACTTTTTTTTTTTTTTAGTTCAGCTAAAGGTTTGTCTATATTGTTTCAGTTTTCAAAAAGTACATTTTGTTCTATTAATCTTTTGTATTGTTTTGTTGATTTCAATTTCATTTACTTCTGCTCTATTATTTCTTTTATTAATTTTGGATTTGGTTTGTTTCTGCTTTTCTAGCTCTTTAAGATGCATCATTAGGTTGTTTATTTGAAGTTTTTCTTCCTTCTTTATGTAGGGATATATAGCTATAAAATTCCCACTTAGTACCACTTTTGCTGTATCCCACAGCTTTTGGTATGTTGTGTTTACATTATCATTTGTTTAAAAATTATTCATTTTTCTTCCTGATTTTTTTATTGTCCCACTGGTCATTCAGAAGCATATTGTTTAACTTCTATGTAGTTGTATACTCCTCGGAATTTCTTGTCCTGTTGACATGTAATTTTATTTCATTGTGGTCAGAGAATATGCTTGGTATTATTTCCTTTTTTTTTTTTTTACTGCTTTGAGACTCATTTCGTAACCTAACATATGGTCTATATTTGAGAATATTCCATTTGCTGAGGAATAGGTTGTGTTTTCTGCAGCCATTTGGTAAAATGTTCTGATAACATCTATTAAATCTATGTGTTCTATAGCGAAAAATAAATCTGATTTTTGTTGTTGTTGTTGTTGATTTTCTGTCTGGAAGATCTGTCTAATACTGAAAATGGGTGTTGAAGTCTCCAGCTCTTATTGTATTGGATTCTATCTCCCTTTTTAGCTCTAATAATGTTTGCATTATATATCCAAGTGCTCCATTGTTGGGTGCATATATATTTAGAATTGTTATATTTTCATGCTAAATTGATTCCTTTGTCATTAAATAGCAACCTTCTTTCCTTTTCCTATACTTTCTTTCTTAAAATTTATTTTGTCTGGTATAAATAGAGCTACTTCTGCTCTTCTTTTCATTTTCATTGGCATATAATATTTTTCCAAACCCTTTATTTTCAGTCTATATGTGTCTTTATAGGTGTAGTGTGTTTCTAGTAGGCAATGGATCAATGAGTCTTCTTATTTCATCCATTCAGCCAGTCTTCCTTTTTATTGGAGAATTTAGTTCATTTACATTCAATTTGGTGTTATTGATAAGTAAGGACTTACTCTTGCCATTTGATTATTTGTTTTCTGATTGTTTTGTGATCTTCTCTTCCTTCTTTCTTCCTATCTTACTATTACTGAAGGTAATTTTCTCTGGTAAAATAATTCTGTTTTATTATTTTTATTCTTTTGTTTGTTTCTGTTGTACATTTTTTGGTTTTAGGTTGCCTTGAGTCCTGCAGATACTGTCTTTTAACTTATTATTTTATGTTGATAACAACTTAACGCTTTCAAAAATGAACAAGTAAAAAAACTGATAGACTCCACCTCAGCTTTTTCTCCCTGCTTTTCAACTTTTTATTGTTACTATTTATATATATATATTTTACTGCTTATGCCTTGAAAAGTTATTGTAGTTATTGTTTTTGAGTGGTTCATCATTTAGTCTTTTGACTTAAGAGTAGTTTACACACCAGGGTTACGGTGTTATAGTATTCTATGTTTTTCTATGTACTTACTACTATCAGTTAGTTTTGTACCCTCAGATGATTTCTTATTGCACATTAACAGTTTTTTCTTTCTGATTGAATTACTCCCTTCAGCATTTCTTGTAGGCTAGGTCTGGTGCTGATGCAGTCTCTCAGCTTTTGTTTTCCTGGGAAAGTTCTTTTTTTTAATCATATTTGAAGGATAATCTCAATAGGTAGACTATTCTAGAGTAAAAGTTTTATTGTTCCTTCAACACTTCATATATATATATATATATATATATATATATATGTATATACACACACACATATAAATTTTTTATTATGCTTTAAGTTCCGGAATACATGTGCAGTAGGTGCAGGTTTGTTACATAGGTATACACGTGACATGGTGATTGGCTATACCTATCAATCCATCATTTACATTAGGTATTTCTCCTAATGCTCTCCCTCTCCTTGCCCCCCACCCCCCAACAGGCCCTGGAGTGTGATGTTTCCCTCCCTGTGTCCATGTGTTCTCATTGTTCAACTCCCACTTATGAGAACATGTGGTGTTTGGTTTTCTGTTCCTGTGTTAGTTTGCTGTGAATAGTGGTTTCCAGCTGCATCCATGTAGCTCCAAAAAAACATGAACTCATCCTTTTTTTATGGCTGCATAGTATTCCATGGCATATATGTGCCACATTTTCTTTATCCAGTCTATCATTGATAGACATCTGGGTTGTTTCCAAGTCTTTGGTATTGTGAATAGTGCTGCAATTAACATACATGTGCATGTGCCTTTATAGTAGAATGATTTATAATCCTTTGGGTATATACCCAGTAATGGGATTTCTGGGTCAAATGGGATTTCTGGTTCTAGATCCTTGAGGAATCACCACACTGTCTTCCACAATGGTTGAACTAATTTACACTCCCACCAACAGCATAAAGGCATTCCTATTTCACCACATCCTCTCCGGCATGCATTGTTTCCTGACTTTTTAATGATTGCCATTCTCACTATATATATATATATATATATATATATATATATATACACTATATATATACACACACTATATATATATATACACTATATATATATACACACTATATATATATATACACACTATATATATACACACTATATATATATACACACTATATATATACACACTATATATATATACTATATATATATATAAATTGTGGTTTATGTGCTAAACATTAGGATAAAATCTTGCAATATATTTTAAAGAAAAAAGCATTATCTTAAGACATATGTTAAAGCAAACTAAATATGGCCTGAAAAGAACTCCGTACTTCTATATTTGAGTTCTTGTGGATGAACTGTAACCTAGCTTAATAGTCAGACAAAATTGAAAACCTAACTTAGTAGTATGTACCTGTAACAATAGCTGAGTGTTGGCCAATCCCAGTGGCCATACTTCAACCACTCATAGACTGCTGAATGTTCAAACTGCATTCAAATAAGGCAAATGCTGAGTTGTAACCAATCTCACTGTTTCTGTACGTCACTTCTGATTCCTGTACGTCACTTTACCTTTTTGTCTATAAATTTGTTCTGACCACGAGACACCCCTGGAATCTCTGTGAATCTGCTATGATTCTGGGGGCTGCCTGATTCACGAATCATTTATTGCTCAATTAAACTCTTTTAAACTTAATTTGGCTGAAGTTTTTCTTTTATTACATAGAAACAAATCTATTAGAGTTTACACATGCTAGGGGCCACCTGTATAACCAGATATCTGAATTAACTTCCACGTAGAATACAATGTTTATGAAAGTATAAGTAATACAAACAGGCTGATTTTACAGATAGATGCACATATAGGTAGATGTAGATATATAGATATGTACTTAAAATTCAATATAAGCAGTGGCAATTGTTTAGCACTTTGACCAACAAATGCTTTTCTCTGGAAGTGTTGTTTATTGTAGACATCGTTCAGAATTGTCTTCACATGATAATAACTAAAAGCTGTTTGAATTTTAATTAGCTTTGTTTTTCCTTTATAATTATTTATAATAAACTCCCTTAGTACTTGTGTCCAGTTCAATAATTCCCACTACCATTGGTATGCCATTAGTTTGTGCAAATTTTTCTTGTGGCTATTATTATGTAACAAAACGTCTCTTTTCTTTCTTTCTCCTTCCTTCCTTTCTCTTTCCTTTTGTTTTCTTTCTTTCTTTCCTTCTTTTTTTCTTTCTTTCTCTTTCTCTCTTCCTCTCTTCCTTCTTTCCTTTCTTTCTTCCACTACTTTTTTTTCCTCTCCTAAGGATATGTTTCAGCATGTTCAAGCCCCTGATATGTCCTACAGTAAATAAACCTATTTAACTTTACATAACCAAGCTAGTTAGCACGTATTACAATACTAAACACCTGTCATGTAAAATATGATATTTGATTTCCCCAGTAACTCAATTAGTTAGATACACTATTGTTACTGATATTTTACTGATGAGTAAATTAAACATTATTGACATTAAAATTTCAAAGATTAAACATCTAGCAATTGTTTTAAATCTAGCAATTTATTTACTTTGTTAAACACTAGCCATTTCTTTCCACCACCCACAGCAGATCTGTGAAGAATCTGTGCATATCAGAGGTTAACCATGATTGAAGAGACACTGAAATCATTGTGGAAACATGATATTAGAAATAAACACTTGCATTAAAATTTCTGGAAAAGTGAAATTATAGAAGAGGGATAAAATCACTATCGATAATAATAACCATAATATAACCATAATAATCACATAACTATAATAATCACACCACATAATAAGTAGTGATCTGAGTAGGCAGATCACAGATTGCAAGAAAAGCCCGGAGATTATATGTGCCTGGCTACTGAACTCAATTCAGGAAGAAGGAGCTCTGTGGAGAAGTCTCTTGAAGAAATTGCCTCTAAGGGTCATAGTAAGTAAGTAAGGTGAGGTAGTCAAGTCCTTGGTGGCACCATTCATGAAAGGATGATACAAAATTTGAGAAGATACACCAGAAAATGGAGACCGCTAGACGTAAGTTTCCATTTATCACTTTGTCATTTTTCCAGTATTTTCAAAATATTGGTTTCTTCTTCTTTCCTGCTTTTCAAATCTCATAAAAGATCTGTTTTTGGCTAACTCTAACCTGATAAATTTTTGCAATGTGAATCTAAGACACATAGTTCCTAGCTTAGCCAAGTTGACAAAGTACAGTCTAGTATAACCCTGTGGAATGATTTTCCATGGAACATTTGTTTAAGGGAAGGTACAGTATCACAAATGTCAATTTTATATATTGTTTTTTAAAATGTTTTTCAAATCACAGACTTTATTCTAGGTCCTATCAGGTAAGTGCATTGAAATGAGCATCTTAGCAATGAGTAAACGTAAATGCTTATCCAACATCTACATTTCAATTATATTTAGTTTATTTTGTTCAAAATTTACATTATTTTTATTGATATGATGAAAACATCATTGCTTGAGGAAAATTTATCCTGAAATTAATGCGAACTGCTAGCATTTATGATTACAATAGAGAAACTAATACAGTGTAACAAAAATGGCATTTTTAACAGTTGAAATTAGTATCACGGAGAGAATATGACTAGAATAAAATTATATGTAGAATGAGAGACTATATCTAGAATGAAGAACTCAGATTAAATCAGACTTTTTTCTGTTTATCTTACAATAAAATTATCTAAAAAGATTACTCATTTTTTAAAATAATTATTGTATTTTATAGGAGAACTTACATGCTACAATAATATTTATGAACTGGCACATTCATAAGGGCCTCCAGACATATACACAAATATCATAGGTCTACTGGAATTGCTACATCTTTACTTTGAGTATGAAAGTGCCACATAGAAAGCAATAGATATCTAAACTAGACCAAAATTCTAATTTGAAATTCTAAACATATATAAAAAAATACTATGTTTTCTTGGTACAATCAATTTCCTATTTTCCTATATATCTAGAATACCATCCCATGAATGGACTTGTGATGCTGAAATAATTTCCACTTGATCAAAATTGATATGATGTACCAAGAACTATAACTGTGAGGTTTGAAAGTGAAGATAATTTATGATATAAAAGTACATATGTTAAAAACATTTTATCCATATAATGTCAGAAACAATGACTCAACATTTCTTATTAAGAAAAATATTGTATGTTTAAATGGTATGTCTAGCTCATGCCTGTTCTGACATTTTAGTTTGGAAATGCATAACTTGTTTGATTTCACAGGCTCACTTCAGGACAGGACAACAATTTGCCTCAGCATGAATCGTGCCTGAGTCTCACTTGCATGATGTTTAGAGGAGACTTTGGACTTCTAAGTTGGTGTTAGAACAAGATTCTTCAGACTATTCAGATGGAATCAGTGTATTTTGTGTGTGAAAAGGACATGAGTTTTGTGAGACAAGGGGCACACTGCTATAGTTTGAATGTTTGTCCTTCCAAAACACATGTTGAAAGTTAAGTGTCCTTGTAACAATATTAAGAATTACGGCCTTTAGGAGGTGAATGACCCATAAGGGCTCCACTTTCATGAATAGTTTAATGCCATTATTGCAGGAGTGGGTTCACTGCAAAAAGACAAGTTCAGCCCCTTTTACTCTCTCTTGCCCTCTCTTTGCCCTTTTGCAATGTGATACCTTTGTTCATGTTATGTTTGACACATCAGAAAGGCTCTTGCCAGATATCAGGACTTAGATCATCGACTTCCCAGCATCTGGAATGGTAAGAAATAAATTTTTGTTCATTATAAATTACCTACTCTCAGGTATTCAGTTACAGCTGCACAAAACATACATGATAAAAACCAACAGTAGGTTCTAAATTCACAAAAAATTAATCCATTCCATAAAATGATATCTCACATTGGTTCAGATAACAAAATTTTTCCGTTGTTTTTACACCTGTAATTTTCAAACAGCACTATGATTCAAAACATATTTTTCTTCAAGCCAACAAATAATTCAGTCTCTTTCAATTGACACAAGTGGGGGTATTTTTACAAAATAAAGAATGATGAACCGTGGGTCTGTAAATATAATCTACATGGAAACAACAGGTGGTGGTGGGATATGAAAAATTAATGTCTTTATTTTTATCTTCTTTACAGGTAGTTTTGCAAGGAAAGGAAAAGTTATCATTAAAAACTACTAAATGGAATGACACTTTTGTTCCACCAAGTATATTATTACACAGATCTCAACTATTACACGCTAAATATAATAAACTTCTAACATTCACGTGTTCACCATTTTTTCTCAATCACTTATAAAACATCCATATCTTTTATATATAGCTTTCTTATAGCTACCACTGTAAGCAAAGCATAAGCATTAAATTACTTTTATAATATAAATATTTATTTATATTTTATACATATTATATACATAGTATATTTTATAATAACGTAGCTCTTCATATTTATGCCTGTTATCAGGCTTGGGCATTTTGGAACTCTATAAAAAAATTCCTAGCCCAATAAAACTTTAGCATCTACTTATGGTCACATATTTTCATTACTGTTCAGTCAACAATGATTTTTCAAACCCTTTAAGCAAATAACAATTGTACACACCTGGAAGTCTGTGGCCTTTGTTCTCAATAATATTAAAATTCATTAAGGAAGAAAAGACAAGGAAATAAAATGATCTACATTTAAAAATTAATTGATTGCTCATAAAAGTGAATAGAAAGAGTGGGTTAGTAAGCATGCTTAAGGAATAAAGATTAAGATGAGAATTAATCACACATGTTTTGAAGGATGTATCACTTCTATTATTTAAAAGGGAATAAATTGGTATCTAAAGAACAGGTGTGTGGTGATTTTACTTTCAACTTGAATTGCCAGACTGTTCATGGCCTGAGATTCACTGGTGTGTGGATTTGTCTGGGGAAATGTTAGAAAAAATGGTGGATAGAGTTTTCTGGAAGTCCACTTGACTAGAGGTGCTAAAAAGTATCCTGAGATATATATTGACAGAAAAGTAGCTAGATATGACTATCCTGACCAAATACCAAGCCTTTATTATGAGAATTGGTGGGGGAGCATTATACAAACATCATATTATTTACAGTTGAGCTTAATTTATCTTCCCAGTTATCCATTGGACTAAAGGATGAATCATCTAGAGAGTAAGGAGACTCTAAGCCAAAACTGATAGTCATCTACCACTAATTGTTCTATGAAATACTGTGATACAAGCAAAAATGCTTTGATATCACTCTAACACTTCTAATGTGAAAGGAGAATAAAAACTATTTTTCCCTATTGCAACATGGAACACTGCAGGATTTCCATCTTGTGGACTCTGTTACTTCAGAAGCAGCAGGAGATAATGATGACCAGCAGATATATAGTCATTAAGAATGAGTTGAGTAGGAATAATACTCCATGGAAATAAACATTCTCATGTGCATATTAGATAATGCTGCAGACCCCATAAATAAACTGGGGCAATTCTGTGATTACTATTAATAATATCCTGTTTGAATGCATGAGGTAAAAAACCAATAAAATTTTGTTTACTGCTCTTACTATAACCCTTAATAATATATATATAGGTTGCTGAGGTCTAGGAAAAATTTGATTACACAGGAATAAAAAACATTTTAGTTACCACAATTTTGTTTGTGTAAATGTTGTTGTGTATGAGACAGAATGAGTACAAGCAAGCACAAAATTAAACTTTAAAAAAATTGTATGCTAGGGCCTAAAAGAAATTTAAAAAGAAAAAGGCAGAATCTGGAACCAGATTCTCTAAGGCCCAAAGTGTGGTTCTCCAGCCAGCAGTATTAGCATAACATGGAAGTTTGTTAGAAATATAAAATCCCAGGTTTAATGCCCAAACTCCTAAATTAGGATCTGTATGTTTTCAAGATCTCCAGGTGATTTATGTGCTCATTATAGATTGAAAAACACTATGAAAGCATTATACCTATTGCCACAAATTTGTGTTTAATATAAGTATTATGAATTTAATGTCAGAATTAGGAAAGGTGTAGTCATCATGTCAAAGAAGTGAAGAATAAGTGAAAGTACTCAGAGATACTATGAAAGAGATAGAAGTCAGTCAATTTTAGAGAAGAAAATGTGGTATACAAATGTCAGATGAATGGTGCATATATTAATGTTTATTCACTACTCAGTCAATTTGTAATAATCTGAAATATATGTGCCATAATTACTATGGGTAATTTCTGTGACAAGTTTTGACAAAACTACAAGAGATTGGTGGAAATATAGCTAAGCTTAATTGGGGACCACTGAGTCACTGATTATAAATGACTGATCTGGAAAAAGATAACTCCCTCCAAACAGGAAACCTAATTCAGACAAGCTTCTTTGGATTTCCCAGTAAGTTTGGTCTATATGACGTTTTAGCCTTCAGGGCATAAAAGTTCTTTGCATTTACATTCCTCAGAAGAGTTGTTTCACAAAAACTTTAGCAACTTACTCTCAGTTATTTTCGTTATTTGTACTCTTTCAGGAAACTACATCCACTATCTTTGGAGGGGAAGGAGTATGCACACACATACACACACACACACACACACACACATACGGGATTCAGATACGATACTTCATTCATCTCTTATAAACTTTCCAAACATCATTTGCATGCTGAACTTACTTGAAGAGTGAAATATCTTTTTACAAAATGACAGAATAGGCTATTTCAATTATCTCTAAAGCCTGTCAGGAAATTACAGCTTAGCCACATTCTGTCTTACTTCTCCTCCATAGGAATATGACAGTTTTAAATAGCTAAATCTCTTGAATTGTATTGCTGTTAAATGTAATTTAGCTATTTACTGCCTTTTCCAGAGATTTAGTTGATGTTTTATTAAATTCACTGATTAGCATATGTTTTATGGTTGCCGAAATATAGTCATAAATAATCAGAGAAGAGCTCTAAAATAATGATGAAACATACCTGTCTCCAGCTTTTGGAAACTTTGTCATACCAATGACTAGAAACTAAAAAAAAATTCATACTTCTTTTTGCTTCAACTGTTAAAAAGTTTTATTTACAATAAAGAGAACACTTTCATTTCATTCGAGAAGAATAATTTTACAGTCCACATAGCTGAACAGAAAAGGATTTCCTTATAAAGATTTGCCCAAGGTGATTGCAAAGACGAGAAGACAAGGTTTTTATGTAAAAAAACTATATATTTGTTTGTTATGAGTTTCTGCTTATTATAATCACAGTACAGTATTACATATTTCAGTCTTTATCATTTATAGTACCCTCAAATAAAAAGGTTTCTTAATTTCTTATACTTATTTAGATCTGAAAATGATTTCAGCAGAGAGCCTTTGCCTTTATACCACTAAAAAAGGAAAAATAAAATTTTGAGAGTATAAAAATTTGTTTGAACTAAACTTTGAAATTAAATTTAAGTAAGAAGCTATTCCTTCAGTGTAAGGGAAAAGCACTTTCTCAATCAAAGTAATTACTTTGCATTTTTATCCCTTGTTGGGAACACCTTTAAAAAATAAAAGTTTAATACATTTTACATTAGAGTTGAAATAAATATGGTGTATTTTTAGATGATATCGAATAATAATTAAATCATTATCTCTCAGTTTTAAACCCACCTTTTTATATTTGTATTCTGATGTTGTAACTGGGATTCTACAAACCACCTTTCTTTACTGGCAGGTGACTTCTTTATAGTCACTGCCAATAGGAAGTGAGAGAGACAGAGAGCAATAGAGTTGCAGGAGAGGGGTGTGGGGAGAGAAGGGAGACTAAATTACTGAAGGAGAAAAATGGTTCACATTGTTTTGCCTCATAATATCACAGCAATGTTTTCACCCTGACAATGACATTGGTTATAACATCAATTGGTTCCAAGTTGCTGTTTTCACATATCTATGACCAGGCTAACTAGGTATTTCAGAGGTACCAGCACTCATTGAGGCTGTTTGATCCTAACTTTGTGAGGGCACTCCTCCAACCTTCTAGCTTTTAATAATGTAAGTCTCTTCATTTTGTTCCCTGAGATCTAGATCTAGGAGTTGCTTCCTGAAGCTACTACTTCTGTGATACTTCATAGTCCTTCCTTTACCTTTACAGTTTTATAATACCTGGTTAACATATTTTATATTATATTATCTCTCTAAAATAATTGGTATAGTATGTGTGTACTGATTAGATTCAACCAACATATAGAGCCTGTATTCCAGTATCTAGTCCCTTTTGATAGCTCAAATCAAAATGTTTGTTACTCAATAGAATTTAAACTTTCAAGTATTTGTTGAGTTAGTTATCTTAGCAAGATATTATGCTAGTTAATAGAGAAATTAAAATCTTCAATCAACTAATGATTTTCTGGTAAAAGCAACACTATACCACAGCAGTTATCATTACCAACTTTGGAATCCAAGAAGCTTTGGTTTATTCTCATTTCTACCACATATTTTCTGCATTATAATTTTGAGTCCCTAACATTTTTTTTAAAAGATGAGTGAGAATATTTAGTAATATATAACTAAAGCATAGAAACATTTTGGGATGTCTAAAGAAAAGAAAGATCCATAGTAATATGGATTATTGACTCTAAGTCTTCACTTCTCCATAATGGGATTAAACATTTATGCCATTTGACATATAACTTTACAGTGTTCTCCCATTGTGGGGGAAGAATACTTCCCCAGCTCATTTATATTGGGCAACGCTAAGCAACTTGCATTGGTCAATAAAATGTTAGCATATAGGACAAAATCCTTACATATGCTAGCATAGTTTGACATGGCTTCTTGTATTCTTTTCCTTCACCATGACAAGAATATGTCATCAGTAGGTGTTGGTTTAAGAAGGCTAGGAAACATTTATTGCAGACCTGAATTCAATCTACAACCTGATTCCAACCCCAATGGTTCTATAGCACTAAGCATTCTGTCTAGACTGAAGAAGAGTTACCCAGTTGAGCTTAGCCTGGATCAGCCGAACAAGAGAACTATAAGAACAAATATTTGTTGTAGCAAGCCACTAAATTGGGGGATGCTTTGTTTCACAGCATTGTTTCAGAAATAGATGACTAAGGAAATCATCATGAGTTGGTGGGTTGGCGATTTTAGAAATATTACATGAGATAAAACTTAAATAGCCAGTAAATTTTGAACATGATTCATACTATATTTAAGGGTGTGTGTGTATGTGTTTGTGTGTGAGTGTGTGTGTGTGTGTGTATTTTCAATGTCTCCAATCAGGCAACAATCCTCCTTTAATGGAGGGACTGTTTCTTACTCCTGGATTTTTTAATAAACTGTTAACTAGGAATTATAAGAGGTGAATTTCAGTATCCATTTTCCCACTGACTAATCGACAAACCTTACGATTTTAAGCAAATAATCACTCTGGGCTTATATGACCACATAATCTGTACAGCCATTATCCCCACATCAGTTTATTTTTCTTTCCTTATTTTTAAGTAAATGTTTTAGAAGAACTATTATTTTTCTAGTAAATTTTGCTTGCAAATTTAATGCTGAATAGGAAAACAACATGGTTTCTGATTAAAACAGAGGTGGTAACCAGTAGCAACAGAGACACAGTTTTCAGAAATGACACTCATGTATTTCATTACATAAGCATAAATAGAGCCAGGAAAGATGAAACAAGACAGAGTAGGCAATCCACACCTACATTCTGTGGTTTAATTGATGCTACCAATCCCTCATTTCCTCTAAGAAGCCCTCTTCCATGTTTATTCTGGATCTTAACTTCCCACTATGAATATAACAAGGCTGACTTTCCAGAAAAGCCATGTTAAAAATAGGATAATTATCTTAATTGTGGTACTAATGATTAAAGCATAATACTGGCGGGCAACGATAAAAACCACATGATTATCTCAATAGATGCACAAAAGACCTTCAACAAAATTCAACAGCACTTCATGCTAAAAAGTATGAATAAACTAGGTATTGATGGAATGTATCTCAAAATAATAAGAGCTATTTATGACAAACCCACACCCAATATCATACTGAATAGGCAAAAACTAGAAGAATTCCCTTTGAAAACTGGCACAAGACAAGGATGACCTCTCTTGTCACTCCCATTTGACATAGTATTAGAAGTTCTGACCAGGGCAATCAGGCAAGAGAAAGAAATAAAAGGTATTCAAATAGGAAAAGAGGAAGTCAAATTGTCTCTGTTTGCAGATGACATGATTGTATATTTAGAAAACCCCATCATCTCAGCCCAAAATCTCCTTAAGCTGATAAGCAACTTCAGCAAAGTCTCAGGATACAAAATCAATGTGCAAAAATCACAAGCTTTCCTATACACCAATAACACAGTGAGACAAATCATGAGTGAACTCCAATTTGCAATTGCTACAAAGAGAATAAAATTCCTAGGAATACAACTTACAAGGGATTTGAAGGACCTCTTCAAGGAGAACGACAAACCACTGCTCAATGAAATAAGAGAGGACACAAACAAATGGAAAAACATTCCAGGCTCATGAAAGGGAAGAATCAATATCGTGAAAATGGCTATACTGCCCAAAGTAATTTATAGATTCAATGCTATCCCCATCATGCTACCATTACCTTTCTTCACAGAATTGGAAAAATCTACTTTAAATTTCACATGGAAGCAAAAAAGGGCCCACCTTGCCAAGACAATCCTAAGCAAAAAGAACAAAGCTGGAGACATCACGCTACCTGACTTCAAACTATACTACAAGGCTATAGTAACCAAAACAGCATGTTACTGGTAACAAAACAGATACGTAGACCAATGGAATGGAACAGAGGCCTCAGAAATGACACCACACATCTACAATCATCTGACAAACCTGAGAAAAACAAGCAATGGGGAAAGGATTCCCTATTTAATAAATGGTGTTGGGAAAACTGGCTAGCCATATGCAGAAAGCTGAAACTGAATCTCTTCCTTACACCTTATACAAAAATTAACTCAAGATGGATTAAAGGCTTACATGTAAGACCTAAAACCATAAAAACCCTAAAAGAAAACCTAGGCAATACCATACAGGACATAGGCATGGGCAAAGACTTCATGACTAAAACACCAAAAGCAATGGGACCAAATCCAAAATTGACAAATGAGATCTAATTAAACTAAAGAGCTTCTGCACAGCAAAAAGAAACTATCATCAGAGGGAACAGGAAACCTACAGAATGGGAGAAAATTTTTGCAATCTATCCAGCTGACAAAGGACTAATACCCAGAATCTACAAGGAGCTTAAACAAATTTACAAGAAAAAAACAAACCACCCCATTAAAATGTGAGTGAAGGATTTGAACAGGCACTTCTCAAAAGAAGACTTTTATGCAGCCAACAAACATGAGACAGTGCTCATCATCACTGGTCATTAGAGAAATGCAAACCAAAACCACAATGAGATACCATCTCACACCAGTTAGAATGGCGATCATTAAAAAGTCAGGAAACAACAGATACTGGAGAGGATGTGGAGAAATAGGAGCACTTTTACACTGTTTGTGGGAGTATAAATTAGTTCAACCATTGTGGAAGACAGTGTGGTGATTCCTCAAGGATCTAGAACTAGAAATACCATTTGAGCAAGCAATCCCATTACGGGGTATATACCCAAAGGGTTATAAATCATTCTACTATAAAGACACATGCACACATATGTTTATTGCAGCACTGTCACCATAGCAAAGACTTGGCACCAACCCAAATGCCCATCAATGATAGACTGGATAAAGAAAATGTGGCACATATACACCATGGAATACTATGCAGCCATAAAAAAGGATGAGTTCATGTCCTTTGTAGGGACATGGATGAAGCTGGAAACCATAATTCTCAGCAAACTAACACAGGAACAGAAAACCAAACACCACATGTTTTCACTCATAAGTGGGAGTTGAACAATGAGAACACATGGACACAGGGAGGGGAACATCACACACCAGAGCCTGTCAGGGGGTGGGGGGCTGGGGGAGAGATAGCATTAAGAGAAAAACCTAATGTAGATTATGGGTTGGTGAATGCAGCAAACCACCATGGCACATGCATACCTATGTAACAAACCTGCACATTCTGCACATGTACCCCAGAACTTAAAGTATAATTTTAAAAAGTATTAAAAAAAGCATAATATTAAGTTAAACCACATGAGATTGCTGGGTTTTTCATTCAATATATGTTTTTACCTTATGAATGTAAAGAAAAAATAAGTGACATTTTGGACGTGCATAATATGTAGGGAAAAGACATTTAGAATATAAAATCTTGATTTTGAGTATCATAAGACAAGTCCTTGGAGGAACTGATATAAAAAAATGGGCTTAAACATCAGATTTTGAAGAAATCACAATAGTATAAGTGAGCTTTATTGTTTCAGAAAATATTACTTTCAATTGAGAAAAGAAGTAGAAAGGAAGTTCATTCTTTTTTTAGTTAGTAAGTATCCTTGACAAAAGGTGCTATGCTCTTCCACTCTTCAGATGATGGGATGATAGAGGAGCATTAGAAATTACCAACCAAACTGTGAAATTTTATGGTAGAATAAAACTGGGTCTTATTTTTAAGTAAAGCCTATGAGAGTTGTCAAGTCACATAGTGTATCCTGGTGCACAGCAGAACAAAAAATAAACAAAGTAGAAATATGTTGTTGGCTTTGTTTAGGATGAGATGGCTTGAGAAAAAAAATTGTCCTGAATCTGCAAAATGAATATCTAGTATTTCATGTGTTATACAGCAGAAGTGTGGAAATTACTTTAAAAAGGAGAAAGAAAAAGAATATATTTGCAGATATATTCAAGTATTTTACTGGAGATGTGAGAAAAACATGGGGTTCCAGGAAACATTTCCATAAAAATAGTTGACTGTACATAATTATTTATTCCAGTCTGCTAAATGTCACTATTGATGTCTTAATATTTTGTTAGAATTCTTAAAATTTTTATGGATTCTAAGATTCCCTTTTTTTCACATTTTTACATATCTAAACTTTGGATGTATCTTACAATCAAAGACATTTTACAATTGTTTTTCAAGTGGCAACTCTAATACAGTAGTCATTTCCTGAACTTGTGATCACATCAGAAGGATTAGCATCACCAACATGTGCAGAGTAGATGTCAGAGGCTGAGAGCCCATAGTGGAGTGTTTAGTTTAACCCCTATGAGACAAAGGATTGTAGGAAGAGAGTAGAAGAGTTGGTGCATCACATGTGTTTAACATTTCTAAAGTGAGAATCAAAGTGATCTAACTGCACATAATTTCAAAGCTAGCATAACAGCCCAACATTAATTAATGTGGTTATTTTATAAATTCTTCTAAGAAATGTTGCATTAACCAAACACTTGATAGCAAAAATATTATATTAAAAAACATAGATTTTGATGACTCCAGGATGAAATGTTAATGAGAAGAGTGGTACCGTGTGATATAAAGTATCTTTAGAATTACTATAATCAAAATATTAATTTTCTAACTCTAAAGGCACATGCCCACATATGTTCATCATAGCACTTTTCACTATAGCAAAAATATGGAATCAACCTAAATGCTTATCAATGGTAGACTGAATAAAGAAAACGTGGTCCACATATGCCATGGAATACTATGCAGTCATAAGTAAGAATGAGATAATATCTTTTACAGCAGCGTGGATGGAGCTGGAGGCCATTATTCTAAGTAAACTAACATACTAACAGAAAACAAATAACGTATTCTCTCACTTATAAGCAGAAACTAAACATTGAGTACATATGGACACAAATAATTGAGTATATATGGACACAAAGAATGAAAGACACAGGGGCCTACTTGGGGGTTGAGGGTAAGCGGAGGATGAGGACTGAAAACCTGCTTACTGCGGACTACACTTATTATCTGAGTGACAAAAACCTTTTGCCATCAGCTGAAGATTCCTGAGACCCTCACCAGAAGCAGATGCTGATGCCATGTTTTTTGTACAGCCTGCAGAGCCATAAGGCAAATAAATATCCTTTCTTTATAAATTACCCAGCCTCAGGTATTATTTCATAGCCATACAAATGGACCAAAGCAAGAGGTGAATTGGTATAGTGGGCAAATTAAATGTGTGGAGAAGCCAAAAATCACCATTAAAACTGATGTGTGTGTATGTATGTATGTGTGTGTTTATATTTGTGTGTGTTTGATTAAATGACTCAATTATGCTTCATAGAGTGTTTACATTTTCAGTTCTTTTTCATTTCTCACTTAGGAATATATAAAACTGACTTTAGTCTCATAAGTAATGTTCAATCATTGCTCATTGTGTAGATAAACTGTGAATGTCCTGATGAAAGTGAAGTCTTTGTTTACATGTATCCTTCTACCCTTTCTGAAAAACAATATGGAAGATGTATGAACTTCTATAATTTCCACAGGACCCTACATGTAGTAAGCACTGGAAAATTATTTGTTGAATAGCAAAGTGTATTTCTAAATTAAAGTTTCTTTTGAGCAGTTAGGTTTTTTGGATAACTCTTTCAATTTTTCATTCACCTGGAATGTAAGACATTCACAATATTTTGCATTAATAACCTCATATGCTGGGTTCATACATAGAATATAGCTATTCTTCTTTATTCTTTAGTATCTGTGAAATCTTTTTATTGGAATGAGGTGGACTCACTAATCGATTTCAGAGAGGTGGGGGTTTTTATTCTACTAGAAACTTTCTTTAAGACAGCACTTTTCTCGGGACAGTTGTTTTATTATTTATTTGGCAACACTTAAATGGTATTACTATGTAAATATTAATAAAATCTCATCACTGTGTTTTGGTTTGAAGTGAATGAGTGAATATTAATGTAATAACTGAGGTTTATAAAATAATTGGGGACATTTTTATGTAATTACACTAACTGCAAACACCAAATAAGATTAAACTTCATTACTACACCCTAGGGGTTAGTTCCAGATGGGGCACATAAAACTGAGACCACTGTTTTCACTGCTTTGGGGAATCGGGATTAAAGTATACAACATTTGGCGAACATGTCTTACAGCTTATGTGTTTTAAATTACTGAATGATTTCCAAAAGAAACTAAGATACTAGAACTAAATTTTGATCTTATTGGTGAACGGTAAAATAGCATTTAATGGGCAGAATGTCATAACTAATAAGTCATATGATTGTTGTGGCATTAGTATGGGAATCTTAGATAATATTTCCTGTTAAATGATAGTGAAATATCTATTGCTGTGCAGTGTATTTTAGAATTAATTTTACCTAAACTCTTACTAATCCACTATCCTTTTCAAGACCCCACCCCTGCACCAGATTTCATACAGCATGATATGCGCATTTAATTAGTGGAGCTGGTGTTGGAATGCAGGTATCTTTTGTGTTTCAGGATATCCAAGTATCAAAGGAGCGATCTAGAACGTGAGTCCTCTGCATTTAAAATATAAATTAAAATAACTGTCAAACTAAAAATTTAGGAGCAGGCCAGGTGTGTAGTGACTGCTTCCTGTAATCCCAAAACTTTGGGAGGTCCACATGGGTAGATTGCTTGAGCCCAGGAGTGAAACCCCATCTCTATACAAAATACAAAAACTGTGCAGGCTTGGTGGCCCCTACCTGTAGTCCCAACTACTCAGGAGGCGGAGGTGGGAGGATCACTTGAGCCAGGGAGTTGGAGGTTGCAGTGAGTTGAGATCTCACCACTGCACTCCTGCCTGGGCAACAGAGCGAGACCCTGTCTCAAAATAAATAAAGTTCAGTATAGGGCCATTGCTACTTAGCTGTTCATAATAAAAATAATACATTCATTGTTGAAAATATAGATTTTTAAAAAAGTAAAATTAGCTATTTAATGTTTTAAATGTTGCTGCATTTATTTCAAGGTATAATGGAAGAATCAAAAATGGGTGCAAATAAAACGAAATGAATGAGAGTGTCTTAAAAATAAGTTCAGTCTTTGGTAGCACATGCATAATGCCAACCGAAAATACTGCAAAATCAGAGACAGAGAGAGGATAAAAAATAGTTAAATGATTTAGAGTTGGCATTTGGTAGCATGAGGATTACTTCTTTTCTTCCCTTTACTCTAGTGAACTACTACTCTGATATATCCAGGCACGGCCTGACATTTAGTTCAATTCTGAGTAAGTAAAGGAAAATGGAAAAAGAATAATTTGGTAGAAATGGTGAAAAGTTACACAGTATAAAGACAAAATCAGTAACAGTTTCTAAAGGTATTTACAGAAAATGTTACAGGCTTTTGGTAAAACACGCTTTACAAGTTAATGCTGTTATATATTTGTGTGTTTATTTATTTACTATCCCATATAATACAGCAAGGACTAAAGTATGGAAGCAACAGGAAGGTAAATTTAACTATGTCTATTAATTAGGAATTGCATTTAGCAGTTGTTAAGAGAGACCAATATATAGAGGGATAAAAATTAGAGTGGATGGCATTCTCTTTGTAAAAGATATTTGAAAACAGGCAAACCAGTGCTAGTACATAGGCTTCATAAAATCATTTGGGCCAGTTTCTTTCAGCTCCAACACACAGTTTTCATCCTTTAATTTAGGGTACAATGTGACCCTGCATGGGTGTGCCACCAGGACAGTTGCAGAGGACCATCAACTCAGAATGACCCTGTACTTGAGATTGAATGCACTGAGGTTGCTGGCTTAAAATTCTTAATATTTTAACCTTTGTATTTATTTTTTTCTAAGTTAAGACTAATGGGATATTGGAGTATGTGCCCATATGTTGGAATATTGGCCTGTAAGCAATCATAGCTATTGCCTTCTCCCTGGCTTCTGAGGACAACTTATCAGCCTCTCTTTCCCTGCCCTTGCCTCACTACTGTGCTGCTCTGTGCCCAGGTGGTGTATGGGATGCTGGGGATAGGCCCCAACATCTGGCCTTAAATTGGCCCCTAAGCTGGCCATAAATAAAATCTCTGCAGCACTGTGACATGTTCGTGATGGCCATGACGCCCACGATGAAGGTTGTGGGTTTCCTGGAATGAGAGCAAGGAACACCTAGCCCACCGAGGGTGGAAAACCACTTAAAGGCGTTCCTGAACCACAAACAATAGCATGAGCAATCTGTGCCTTAAGGACATGTTCCTGCTGCAGATAACTAGCCAGAGCCCATCCCTTTGTTGTGGCCTACACTTTGTTTCCCGTAAGGAATACTTTTAGTTAATCTATACTTTATAGAAACAATGTTTATCACTGGCTTGCTGTCAATAAATATGTGTGTAAATCTCTGTTCGATGCTCTGAGCTCTGAAGGCTGCGAGTCCCCTGATTTCCCACTCCACACACTATATTTCTGTGTGTATGTGTCTTTAATTCCTCTAGCACCACGGGTTAGGGTCTCCACAACTGAGCTAGTCTCAGCAATGGCATGCATTGGTGGGGGAAGGCCCATGTTCTTCCATTGCCCTCCATCCCAGGTGGGGGGCTTAGTAAGAGTTTGGAAAATTTTGAGGTTGAGTTTGCACCCCATGGCATCTCAGGGAGAGAAAAAACAGCAACCATCTCAACACTAGGCTGACAGCTCAACAGGCAACTCACTGGGGACTTCTTGCCTCCTCACATACCAGGTTCCAATCACAACCAGCAGGGAGGTTGCAATCCTTTGGAAGTTGCTCATCTCCCATAAGTTAGGATGGTGGGTCCATGAAAAAGGAAGATTGACTTCCTCACCCTCAATCAGGGCTCTGCATTTTTGTTTTGTACTGGACCCTGAAAAAATTATGCAGCTACCCCTGATTTAGGCATTATGTTAACAAGGAAGAAGAAGAAACTGAATATTGCATAATCTACTAGCAGTCTCCAGTGCAACACAAAAAAAAAGATGTATAAAAATTACAGCTGTCTGAAAAGTAGTGAGATTTCTGGGGAAGTAGTAGTGAGTTTTGTGCTCACTGTATGCAAACAGAGCAACTGTAACTTATACAATTGTTGTACAGTCAAGATAAAAAACAATGAGAGGTTATAGTAGTTGAGCTCTAATATCCTTTTACTTCTGAGTTTCTATGATTTTAGGTGAGAAATATAAGGTTGGTAGATCTGATTAATTTTATCTCAATTTGTCTTACAGATGTTGGAGTTGGATGTTATAGGACTTTGTATATTAGCTATATGATGTTTTAAAAAGTAATACATATATCAGTATAATATTAATTTCTTAATTCCAAGAAATGTGCTTCAATAAAAAGACCCCTATTGTTACTTACATGTGAAAAAAATATGTACAGATTTCCATGTATTATCCAAGAATAAGGAAATAATTATCTAAATATTTGTTTAAATATTGTATAAAATATTGAGTATTATTAAAATATTTATATATATAAATATTCATTATATTTAGTTTGACATAGCTCCATATAGTCAGAATGTCTCACATCCTTCCAATCTTATTAACTTAAATGCCTCAAAAGTTAAGTGTACTTTATGATTCTCCTATGTGATCCATCTATTAGAACAATCTAAATTCTATTTATATAAGTAAAAGCGTGTGTAACATATCATTTAATTTCAAGTCTATAGTCTTAAGAGTAAAGAGAGGTTGGGATTGTGGGGTTGCTCAACAGTATTCTCTCATTAAACTTCTCAGATGTCAAAGTAAAGTAAAAGGTTATGTTAAACTACTCATTATTCATAAGTAGAATATAGTTATACACTGGGAAGTGTCTTTCTCTAGGTTAGAAAGTTTAACAGCATCTGCTCCCGGCTTGATAATGAACACTTTGTCAAGGCCAGAGAATAGTTTTTATATAATAACAGAAGAAAATCACTCTGCATTGGTCCTTGCAAACTATAATCAACACAAAATAGTTATAGAAATATGACTTACCTTTCATGCTTCTGTATGTATGATGTTTTAGGGGAATAAATCTTAGAAGAACATAGGAATATTTTGATTCCCATAAAGATCTTACTAAACAGTTTAACTGTATATTGTTATCAGATGGAATTTCTGTGATTGCTATTCTATAACATAATTATATACCAGAACACCTGGATCCAAAAACAATTTTACATCTATTACCTAACTTTATGTAATGAAAGTGTGCAGAAATGAGTAGTAAAATTCTGCATAATATTCCTGTTTTTGATTGTCTTTTGCAATAGACCAGTTCCACACAATAGCAATTGACTAAAAAAATTGCCTTAGTGTGAGCATAACCTGAGTACCATGGGCAGTTTCAGGCTAATTCAATAATAGCACGATAACAGCTATAATATAATTAAAAGGTAGAATTATAGAAACTTTATATGAATATTCATGGCCTTTTAATGACAACTCTAGTTATCATTTTTTGTCTTAACAGACTGTCCTTGTTTTCTTTGATCTTCTTTTATGAACTCTTCTTGTTCTCAAATTTTTTTATTGAAGTGTAACATACATTCGGAAAAGTGCATGAGTGATGACTATACAGCTCAATGAATGTTTAGAAAGTGAACACATCTGTGAAACAACCATCCATGCCAAGAAATATGCACTACCCCAGGAGTCTCTCTCAACCTCCCTTCCAAACACTTTTCATCCCACACACAAGGGTAAGCATTATCCTGACTATCATGGCCCTTTGATTTTTCCAACTTTTGAACTTTAAATACACAATCATGCAGTATGCACTCTTGTTTCTGGCTTTAATTAAATATTATATTGTTGAGATTCATCCATGTTGCAGGATTTATTTTATTTTCATCATTGTATATTCTACTGTATGGGTATACTTTCATCTATATATCCAGTCTTTTTGTTGGACATTTCAATTGTATCTATTTTCTGTCAATTGTGAACAGTGCTGATGTAAAAATTCTTGTATATCACTTTTAGTACACATATGCATGTACATATATTGGGTTTAAACCTGGGAGTGGATTTGTTGTATTATAGGGTGTGCATGCACTCAACTTCAGTAGGCCTTACCCAGCATTTTTCCAAAGTCATTGTGTCACTTGACACTTTAAGCCAGCAGTATATGAGTGGTTCAGTTATTACTTCACATCCTCGACACCATTTGATATTATTATCTGTGTTTTTCATTTAACCAAGTAACAGTATCTCATTATAATTCAAATTTTAGTTTCCCTAATGAGAACATCCTCATATATGTTTTTTGGCATTGGAGATTTTCTTTTGTGAAATATTATAATTTTGGCTCTCCCTTTTTTATTTTTGTAAATTACATTTCTGTTATTTTCTTATTGATTTGTAGACAGTCATATATTTTGGATGTAAATATTTTGTCACATATGTGTATTGCAGTAGTCACATATATATCACATATTTGTATTGCAGTAGATTTGTCAGTAGTTTCATGGTGTTTTTGATTAATAAAATTCTTAAGAAGAATTGTAAAGCACTGCTGGGTTTTGTAAAATTATAGAATAATTTTTTCCAGAGGAAAAAATGTGTTGCTCAGAACTCTTTTTCTCACTAGAAACCTTATTCTGTCAAAGCTTTCATTTTTAATAATTTCTAGTTTTAATTTATTACAAACACATTATTATATTTCTTCTCTAAGACAGATAAATTGAAACAAAAGCTTTCTGACATAAAAACCAGGTAAGTATCTTTTTAAATTTTTTTGGATTAACTGCCAATTTTACTAAGGCTCCTAATGATTTACCAATGAAATTAATCATAGTGGTGCATGGAGATAGTCCTCCTCCTTTTTTCAGTGACAATTGATGCTTGTACTATATTTATGCAGCAGCAACTGACAAGAAATATTCTAAAATTTTGTCTTCTGAGAATACATTTTAGATGCTCAGACTTAGTATATATGTCCTGGAGACAGTTTTATGGTAGGTTTTTTCTTTTTTGTTTTTGAAAAAATAAGAGGATTTTAAAATGTCACCATAGTAGGTATACTTATGTACATTATTAACAACTCATTCAAGTAAAGTTTAAAAATAAATAGAAGTTGGGCTTCAAGTTTCAATGTAATCACTAAGCGCTTGATTCTAACAAATCCTCACTTCACAAATACTAGCAAATAGAAGTTTAAGATGAACGACACGGTCTAACATTTGGGTTTTTTAATCTACATCTCACCAATTTAACTAATTTACCTCGATTAAAAATATCAATTATTCAAATGTCAAGTAGAGGTAATCTAAAAGAACATTTAAAAATCTGAAAAGTATAACACAACTAAAGGCATCAATACAATTAATTATAATGATAGGCTCAGTGATAATGAATAGTCAGGATCCAGTCCATGGACCAATTGCCTGGCCTTGACCTAGAAAATAAAAGTCTCTAGAGGTTGAACCATTCAGGGAGAGTAGTCGAGGGCCCTCCTGAATGGCATGTCAGGATGCCCAAGGACACCAAAATCCCTATAAAGGCTAAGTCTGGCTGTCTTAATGCCAGAAATAAAATCCAACACATAAACTTTACCTATTTTCTCGTAAATGCTAGTTCTCTTACTGCACACCTTTTCTGATTTTGAATCCAAGCAATACATCATATTTTCTGCAAAAATAAACATAGTACATTTAGAAAATATGTTAACATTTTAGCAAAAGATGGCAAACAACATTCAATAGTGATACAATAAATCACTATTGAAACATACTCCATGTGAGAGGGGAACAACACACACTGGGGCTTATGTGGGGGTGGTGGTTGGGAGGAGGGAGAGAATCAGGAAAAATAACTAATGGGTACAAGAGCTAATCCCTGGGTGATGAAATAATCTGTACAACAAACCCCCATGACACAAGTATACCTATGTAACCAACCTGCACATACACCCCTGAACTTAAATAAAAGTTAAAAAGAAGAAACATACTCCATGTGGCTTAGTTAGACATAGTAAACATTAAAGTAATAATTGAACAATTAGCCACCAAATTTGATTAATATGAACAGCCATATCTTATACTTCAAGCTAAAAATGAAAAATAAAACTAGCAACTGGAAGCTTCACTAACTACTATCACTATATAAATACAGCCAGTATCTTTACAGATAATATGTGGAGAATATTAAAATTTTGGATACTTCTGTAACTTGCAATAGAGAGGAGGGCTAATAAAGTTTGGTTATTTTTTGCTTTTTCAGGTTACTGTCTACAGTGACCAAAATGTTCACATAAATGCCTACCTCTTGTTTAATATTGGCTACTTCTATTTGACTGCAAAGTAGTGTTTGACTAAATATTGTTGTAAGCTTGGATTGCCAGATAAAATACATGACTCCTGATTATATTTGAATCTTAAGTAAACAATAAATACTTTAACATAAATATATCCTATGTAATATTGGGACATACTTATACAAAAAATTATTATTCATCTGAAATTTAAATTTATCTGTCCTGTGTTTTTATTTGCTAAATCTGGCAGCCCTATTTTAGCGGAGATTTTCATTGGTCTATTCATGAGGATGATACATTGCAATGATTAGTAAAGGCAAAGTATAGGCAGAAAAAAAACATGGACTAGGATGTTAGCAGTTCTGAGTTTGTATCTAGTCTTAATCACTGTGATATTAGGCAAATTGTCTAACCTCCTAAACCTTCACTCCTAATCTATAAAATAAAGTTAATAGACTTTGCAATATCTACCTCAAGTTCTTGTGGAGCACAAATAAGTTAATATATAAGAAACCTAAATTGAAAACTAAAGTGAAAAAACATCAATGAGTATAAGGCACTACAGTCTCTTTTTGTAGTTCAGCTACTATGAACTATTTATGTTTTAATGAACCTAGAGTGAATATGTATCATGCTGTTTTTTGTAAAGATTCAATATTTGTCTTTTTGCTTAATTATATAGATATGTAGCCTAAATACCACTGAACAAATCTAATATTTTATTACATCAATATTTTGCCAAGTAAAATGCCTTTTCTTTCTTTTACCACCAGCACCACTATCATTAGTACAGTGTCTTATTTTTGTCACTTTATCACACAATATCTTATGCCACCTAAACAAAACAGTTACCATAATTTTGATCTACATACATACATATTTACATATACAAATGTGTGCATATAATATCTACATGTGTGCATTTATACACATACATACATATATGTGCATCTTTATGTGCACATATACATACATGTGCATATATACACACATATATATATGTGTGTTTGCCCCCATGTTTCTAGTGTTGAATCCTCAATAAAATTTCTATAACAAATACTGGTCACCTACATGTATTTATTTACCTTTAAATTTTTAGTTGACATGTGAAAGTTACATGTATTTATGGAATAGAAGGTGATATCTCAATGCATATATACAATGTGTAATGATAAAATAAGGGTAATTAGCATACCATTACTTCAAATATTTATTATTTGTTTGTGTTGGGAACATTCAAAATCCTTTCTTCTACCTATCTGGAAATATAAAATAAAGCATTGTTAACTATACTCACAAGATAGTGCTATAGAACACTAGAATTGATTTTTCCTATCTAGCTGTAACCTTGTATTCATTAACCAAACTCTCCCTAGCCTCTTCTTCATGCTCCTCTTCTCAGTCTCTAATAACCACAGTCCTACTCTCCTCTTATATATGCTCAACTTATCATTCACATATTACTGAAAATATGTGGTATTTACCCTTCCGTGTCTGACTTATTTCACTTAACATTATATTCTCCAGGTTTATCCATATTGCTGCCAATGACAGAAATTCATTCTGTTTTATGGCTGAATAGTATTTTGTTGTGTATATATATCACATTTTCTATATCCATTCATATGTTGATGGACACTTAGATTCATATCTTGACTATAGTGAATAATGCTGCAATAAACATGGAGGTACAAATATCTCTTCGAGATACTGATTTCTTTTCCTTTGGATAAATACCCAGTAGTGGGATTGCTGGATCATATGGTAGTTCTATTTTCATTTTATTGAGAACATTTCATAATGTGTTTTATAGTGGCTGTACTAATTTGCATTTCCACCAACAGTTTAAAAGAGTTCCCTTTTCTCTGCATCTTCACCTTCACTTTTGTCTTTTTGATAATGGCCATTCTAACTAGGGTGAGATCATATCTCATTGTGCTTTTGATTTGCTTTGCTTTAATGATTAGTGATGTTGAGCATTATATCATATAGCTGTTGGTCACTAGTATGTCTTCCTTTGAGTAATGTCTATTCAGGTCCTTTGCCCTTTTTTTAATAAAATTACTTGATTTTTTGCTATTGTTTGAGCTTCTTGTATATTTGAGATATTAGTCATTGTCAGAAGAATAGTTTGCAAATACTTTCTATCATTCTACAGGTAGTCTCTTTATTCTGTTGATTGTTTCCCTTGCTGTAAAGATTTTTAATTTGAAATATTTGATTTGTCTATTTTTGTTTCTGTTGCTCATGCTTTTGAAGTCTTATCCATAAAATATTTGCCCAGACCTATGTCCTGAAGTGTTCCCCCTATGTTTTCTTCAATAGTTTTCTAACTTTGTTTCTTATATTTAAGTCTTTAATACATTTTGAGTTGATTTTTGTATATGGTGAGAGATAGGGGTTCACATTTATTCTCCTGCATCTGATTATCCAGTTTTCCAAGCACTGTTTATTGAAAATAGTGGCCTTTCTCCAATGTATGTGATTGATGACTGTATTCAAGATCAGTTAGTTGTAAATATGTGGATTTATTTCTATATGCTCTGCATTAGTCCGTTTTTATGCTACTGAAAAAGACATACCTGAGACGGAGAAGAAAAAGAGGTTTAATTCATTTACGGTTCCACATGGCTGGGGAGGCCTCACAATCATGGTGGAAGGCGAGGAAGAGAAAATTACATATTACATGGATGGCAGCAGGCAAAGAGTGAGAGATCTTGCACAGGGGAACTCCTCTTTTTAAAACCATCTGATCTCATGAGACTTATTCACTATCACAAGAACAGCACAAGAAAGACCTTTCGCCATGATTCAGTTACCTCCCACTGTGTTCCTCCCAAAAAATGTGGGAATTGTGGGAGTTACAATTCAAGATGAGATTTGGGTGTGGACATAACCAAACTGTATGATGCTCCATTGGTCTATGGGTCTATTTTTAAAACAAAACCATGGCGTTTTGGTTACTATAACCTTGTAATATGGTTTAAAGTCAGTTAGTGTGCTGCCTCCAGCTTTGTTTTTTTTGCTCCAGATTGCTTCAGGTATATGGGCTCATTTTTTGTTCTAAAGAATTTTGGAGATTATTTTATCTGTTTCTGTAAAGAATGTTACTGGTATTTTAATGGGGATTTTATTGAATTTGTATATTGCTTTGTGTAAAATGTTCCTTTTAAGAATATTAATTCTTCCAGTCCATGAAAATAGGATGTCTATTCATTTTTGGTGTGTCTAATCTTCAATTTTCATTTTCATCAGTGTTTTTTAGTTTTCATTGGAGAGATCTTACATGCCATTAGCTAATTTCATTTCTAGGCATAATGTATTTTTTATAGCTATTAAAATCATATTGCTTTCTTGATTTCCTTGTCAGTTAGTTTGATATTGATGTATAGGAATGTTACTAATTTTTGTATGTTGATTTTCTGTTCTGCAATTTTACTGAATTTATTTATCAGTTTTGATGTGTTTTTTTGTGGGATATTTAGGTTTCACAGATATGAGATCATATTATCTGTAAAGAGGGACAATTTGACTTTCTCTATTTTAATTGTGGAAGCCCTATGTTTTCTTCTATTTCTTATTGGTCTGGCTAGGATATTCAGTACAATGATGAATAAGAGTGGTAAAAGTGGGCATCCTTGTCTTTTTCCAGTTGTTAGAGAAAAATTTTTCTACTTTTCCCCATTTAGTATAATTTTTGCTGTGGGTTTGTCAAACACAGCCTTTATTGTGTTGAGATATGTAACTACTATGCATAATTTATGGAGTTTCTATCATGAAGGGAAGGTGAATCTCCTCAAATGTGTTTTCTGTATCCATTGAGATGATTGTGTGATTGTTATGTGATATAACACATATCACATCATGTAGTTGCTATATGATATATCACATTTATTCTATTGATGTGATATATCACATTTATTGATTTGAATATGTTGAATCATCCTTGTACTTTTGAGATAACTCCCACGTGATCATAGTTTATTATATTTTTGATGTGCTGTTTGATTAGTCTTATAGTATTTTGTTGAGAATTTTTATTTATTATTTATTTATTTATTTTTGAGATGGAGTCTCTCTCTGTAGCCCAGGCTGAAGTACAATGGCATGATCTCGGATCACTGCAACCTCTGCCTCCAGGGCTCAAGCAATTCTGGTGCCTTAGTCTCCTGAGTAGGTGGGACTACAGGTGTATGCCACCATGCCCGGACAATTTTTTTCGTATTTTAGTAGAGACGGGGTTTCACCATTTGCCCAGGATGGTCTCAAATTCCTGAGCTCAAGAGATCCATCTACCTTGGCCTTCCAGAGTGCTGGGACTACAGGTATGAGCCACCATGCCCAGACTTGTTGAGGATTTTTACATCTATGTTCATCAGGGATATTGGAGCCTATAGTTTTCTGTTTGTTTTTTTGTTTGTTTGCATCCTTGTCTGGTTTTCGTAAAAAGATAGTGCTGTTTTTGTTGAATAAGGAAGAATTCCCCCTTTTTCTATTTGTTTTTAATAGTTTGAGAAGAATCAGTATTAGTGCTTTTTTAAAAGTCTGGTAGAATTCAGCAGTAAATTTTAATAAAACTTTGTTAAAATTTGTTTTCTGACCAAACATATGGTCTATGCTAGAGAATGTTTCATGTGCTGATGAGAATAATGTGTATTATGCAACTGTTGAATGAAATGTTCTATAAATGACAGGTTCGTTTGGTTTACGGTGCAAGTTAAATTCAATGTTTCTTTCATAATGTTATATCTAGATTACACTGTGGTCTGAGAGACTGTTTGTTATGATTTCAGTTCTTTTGCATTTGCTGAGGAGTGTTTTACTTCTAATTATGTGGTCAATTTTAGAAAAAATGCCAAGTGGCATTGAAAAGAATGTATATTCTGTTGATTTGGAGTAGAGAGTTCTGTGGATGTCTACCAGGTCCCCTTGATCCAGAGCTGAGTTCAAGTCCTGAATATCCTTGTTAATTTTCTGTCTCATTGATCTGTCTGATATTGACAGTTTGGTGTTAAAGGCTCCCACTATTATTGTGTAGGAGTCTAAGTCTCTTTGTAGTCTCTAAGAACTTGTTTTATGAATCTGGGTGCTCCTGCATTGGGTGCATATATATTCAGAATAGTTAGCATTTCTTGTTGGATTGTTCCTTTTACCATTATGTAATGTCCTTCTTGTCTTTTTTTATCTTTGTTGATTTAAAGTCTGTTTTGTCAGAGACTAAGACTGCAACCCCTGCTTTTTTTCTGCTTTTTGTTTGCTTGGTAAATTTTTCACCATCCCTTTGTTTGAGCCTATGTGTGTCTTTCCATATGAGATAGATCTCCTGAATACAACACACCGATGGATATTGACTCTTTCTCCAATTTTCCAGTATGTGTATTTTAATTGGGGCATTTAGCCCACTTACATTTAAGGTTAGTATTGTTATGTGTGAATTTGATCCTGTCATCATGATGCTATCTGGTTATTTTGCACACTAGTTGATGCAGTTTCTTCATAGTGTCATTTGTCTTTATATTTTGGTGTGTTTTTGCAGTGGCTGGTACTGGTTTTTCCTCTCCGTATTTAGTGTTTCTTGCAGGATCTCTTGCAAGGCAGACCTAATGGTAACGAAATCCCTCAGCATTTGCTTGTCTGGAAAGGATTTTATTTCTCCATTGTTTATGAAGCTCAATTTGGCTGAATATGAAACTCTGGGTTGAAAATTCTTTTCTTTAATAATGCTGAATATTGGCCCCCAGTCTCTTCTGGCTTGTAGAGCTTCTGCTGAGAGCTCTGCTATTAATCTGATGAACTTTCCTTTGTGGGTGGCCTGGCCTTTCTCTCTGGCTGTCCTTAACAATTTTTCCTTCATTTTGACCTTGGAATATCTGATGATTATGTCTCGGGGTTGATCGTCTCATGGAGTATCTTAGTGGTGTTTTCTGTATTTCCTGAATTTGCATGTTGGCCTGCCTTACTAGGTTGCGGAAGTTCTCCTGGATAATATCCTGAAGTGTGTTTTCCAGCTTGCTTCCATTCTCCCCATCTCCTTCAGGTACTCCAATCAATCACAAGTTCAGTCTTTTTATGAAGTCCCACATTTCTTGGAGGCTTTGTTCCTTCCTTTTCATTCTTTTTTCTCTAGTCTTATCTACATGCCTTATTTCAGCAAAGTGGTCTTCAAACTGATATCCTTTCTTCTGTTTGGTCAATTTAGTTATTGATACTTGTATATGATTCATGAAGTTCTTATGCTGTATTTTTCAGCTCCATCAGGTCATTTATTTTCCTCTCTAAATTGGCTATTCTAATTAGCAGCTCCTCTAACTTTTTATCAAGGTTCTTAGCTTATTTGCTTTGGGTTAAAACATGCTCCTTTAGCTCAGTGTAGTTTTTTATTACCCATCTTCTGAAGCCTCCTTCTGTCAATTCAACTATCTCATCATCCGTCCAGTTCTGCACCCTTGCTGGAGAGACGTTGTGATAATTTGGAGGAGTAGAAGCACTCTGGCCTTTTGGGTTTTTGGCATTTATTTTAAATTGTTGTTGATTCTTTCTCATCTTTGTGAGTTTGTCTAGTTTCAATCTTTGCGGCTGCTGACCCTTGGATAGGGTTTTTTGGGGCCTTTTGTTGTTGATGTTGTTGTTGTTGCTTTCCGTTTGTTTGTTTTTCTTTCAATGCTCAGATCCCTCTTCTGTAGAGCTGCTACAGTTTTCTGTGGGTTCACTTCAGAGCCTATTCACCTGGTTCACTCCCACGCCTGGAGATGTCACTTAAGGAGCCTGGAGAACAGCAGAGATAGGTGCCTGCTCCTTCTTCTGGGATATCTGACCTCGAAGGGCACCAACCTGATGCCAGTAGGCTCCTGTGTAGGATGTCTAACAATCCCTGTTGGAGGGTCCCACCCAGTTGGGTGGCACGGGGAACAGGACCCATTTAATGAAGCACTTTGTCTGTCCCTTGGTGGAGGGGGTGTGCTTCACTGGGGAAAAACCCACTAGTCTGGGCTGCCTGGATTCCTCAGAACTACCAGGAGAAAAGGCTATGTCTGCTGGTCGGCAGAGACTGTGGCCACCCCTCCCCTGGAGCCTCAGGCCCAGGGAGATCCAGGTTCTCTCTCTGAGCCTCTGGCTAGAGTTATTGGAGTTCCCAATGAGGAAGGATGAGTCAGAGTCAAGCCTGAAGAGGCACTGTGGTTTCAGTCTGCCACAGTCAGTGTGTTGGGCTGTGGGGGACAGGTCTTTTGACCAAGTGGTCCAGCCTCCCTGGCTCCAGCAGGGGAAAAGCACAGCCTGGAGCTATAGAGATGGATGCCACCCTTCCGTTGCCCGGGGAGCTTAGCATGTTAGACAGTTGTGAGTCCCAGTGCTGAGTGCTTCCCGTCCCCTGAGGAGCTCAAATGGCTTAGACAGCAGGCAGCCGCAGCTGTGGTGTTGGTCACCCCTCCCCCCAGGAGCCTGCTAGGCTTAAGCAGATTCCAGCTAAGAGTCTGTTGAGAATCTGCAGGGGTCTGGGGTTGGGACGTTAGTTCCCTGTGGCATGGGTTCACGAGTGGGATCTTCTAATCTGTGGGTTGCACAGTTCTGTGGAAAAAGCACAGTTTCCCTGGCTGGGTGGCATGCTCACTCACTGCCTCCTTTGGCTGGGGTGGTGGGGGCTCTCTTGCCCCATGTGGCTCTCAGGTGGGCCACAGCACTACATTGCTCTTCCTTGCTCTCCGTGGATCACGCCAGCCTCCTAGTCATTTCTGATGAGAGAACCTCGATACCTTGGTTGCTAGTAAAGGATTCACATGCTTACTATGGTTCGTTTTGATGGGAGTCTCTGAACGCCACTGTTTCTAGTGAGCCATCTAAAAACCATTATATATAAAGTTTCGGTGCCGCAAAAGAAATAGCACTCGAATATAAAATTTTATTTTTAATTCTCAGCAAGGCAAGGTACTTCTATAGAAGGGTGCACCCTCACAGATGGAGCAATGGCGAGTGCACACCTGGACAAGGGAGGGAAAGGGGTTCTTATCCCTGATGCACGTGGCACCTGCTGCTGTGTCATTCCCCTATTGGCTAGGGTTGGACCGCACAGGCTAAACTGATTCCAACTGGCTAATTTAGAGAATGATGGGGTGAGTGCCTTGGTGGGAAAAAAAAAATGGTTATGCAGGGTGGAGAAAAATGAGTCAGGGTGGAGCAGGTAGCAGGTAACCGGAATAAGTCAGGGTGGAGCAGGTGATCGGAATGAGTCAGGGTAGAGTAGATAATGGAAAAAGGTTGCTTTATGTGGAAGTTAAGTTTAAAAATACAAGGCAAAGAACTGAACATACTGACATATTAATTCTTTGAAGACAAATTTAGAATTCATATTTAACATTTCTTTACTTAAAAAGACTTTTCAAGTTTCTTTGACAACTATACCCTTAAAGTATTTCTAAATTAAATTAAATGATAGGTATTTATCTTAATTCTAAATCATTTTTAATTAAGATAAAATGTGTTGCCAAATAATAACTAAGATAACTAAAAGTTAAACATTCTAATTACTATTTTATGTAATTATGTAATTAAAAACTAAAACTAAAAAAAAGATAGTATACAAAATTTACAAAAATGTAAGATATGTCTGTTTGGAGAAAGGTAAGAAAAAGGCATGAGGATGTGGTTTTTGTTAAAGAAAACGTAATTTTGTCTAGTTTACCTGGTATTTAAAAGTTGTTTCAAATTTTTTTAATTAAAAATTATATAGATAAACTAAAATGAGTACAAATATTATAAAGATTTATAAAATAAGAAACTTACAAAATAATTTATGTGTGATCAAACTAACTAAAATTAATAAATTTATTATAAGGATTTTTAAAAATGAGCATTCATCAATGACAGATAGCAGGCAGGACTAACTTGTAGCTCCCACTCGGATGGACAGAACAGCATATGGAGCATCGTGAACTTTTGTTCCAAGCACTACTGCAGGAAAGTATCAGGAAAACTGAAAGAATTCACAGACCCACTGAAAGAAGTGGCTTGCCACTGCAAACTCCATAATAAAGACAAAACACTGAGACAAAGCAAGCCCCACCCAAGGAGAGTAGGGCTCAGACATGCCTTGCCCTACCCCAGCTGATGTTCTTTCTCTACTAGCCCTGGTAGCCAAAGACAAAAGACATAATCACTTGGGAGGTCTATGGCCCCACCCATCACCTGAGAAACCCGAATATCTATCCAGGAAACCTTAGAGCAAGCTTGTATGCCTCCTATACTACTGCAGCTAACGCTCTCTTGAAAGTTTCACCTCCTGGCTGAAGGCCAACCAACTCAACCCATTACAGCAACTCATTGAAGAACAACCCTGCTTCAAGAAAGGAGAAGACAACAGCTAATTCCACTGCAGGGAACATTCTGTAACCAGAGGTCTTGAGCCTGTCCACATGACAACTTCACTGCTAGCACAACCAGCACTGGGGAAAACCAGCACACTAAACAAAACTACATCCAAGGACACTCACAGAGTCCACTTTACTCTCCTGCTACCTCTCCTGGATCAGGTGGTGGTATGTATACCTGAGAGACCAAAAGATAGATCATACCATATGACTTTTTGCAGACACTACCCTGTACCAGTCCAGAGCCCAGTAGCTCTGCTGGGAGGCTAGACCCAGAGGAGCAATAACAATCACTGCAGTCCAGCTCTCAGGAAGTCCCATCCTTAGGAGAAAGGTGAGTGCACCACATCAAAGGATCACACCCACCCCATGGGACAAAAGAAGCTTACCAGCAGCCTTTGGGCCCCAGATCTTTCCTCTGACATAGTCTACCTGAAAGAGAAAGAAATAGAAAAACAATTCTGATAATATGACAAAACAAAATTTGTCAACACCCCCAAAATTACACATTAGCTCACCAGCAATGGATCCAAACCAAGAAGAAATCTCTGAACTGTCAGAAAAATAATTTAGGAGGTCAATTATTGAGCTACTCAAGGAGGCACCAGGGAAAGGTAAAAACCAGCTTAAAGAAATTAAGAAAACAAAACAGGATTTGGAAGAAAAAATCTCCAGAGAAATAGATAGCACAAATAAAAAACAATAAAAACTTCTGGAAATGAAAGACACACTTAGAGAAGAGCAAAATGCACTGGAAAGTTTCAACAGTTGAATCAAACAAGTAGAAAAAAGAACTTCATAACTCAAAGACAAGGCTTTCAAATTAACCCAATCTGATGAAGAGAAAAAAAAAAGAATAAAAAAATAAACAAAGTTTTTAAGCATTTTGGAATTACATTAAATGACCAAACCTAAGAATAATTGGAGTTCCCGGGAAACAAGATAAATCTAAAAGTTTTGGAAAATTATTTGAGGAAAACTTCTCTGATCTTGCTAGAGATCTAGGCATCCAAATAGAGGAAGCTCAAAGAACAGCTGGGAAATTCGTCACAAAAAGATCATCACCTAGGCACACAGTCATCAGATTATATAAATTGAGATGAAGGAAAGAATATGAAGAGCTGTGAGGCAAAAACATCAGGTAACCTATAAAGAAAAACCTATCAGGTAAACAGCAGATTTCTCAGCAGAAAGCCTACAAGCTAGAAGAGATTAGGGTCCTACTTTTAGCCTCCTTAATCAAAACCATTATTGGCTAAGAATTTTGTATCCAGCAAGACTAAGCTTCACAAATCAAGAAAAGATAGTCTTTTTCAGACAAACAAATGCTGAGAGAATTCATCACTACCAAGTCAGCCTATGAAAACTGCTAAAAGGAGCTCTAAATTTTGAAACAAATCTTCAGTATACACCAACATGAACCCGCTTAAAGCATAAATCTCACATGACCTATAAAAGGATAACACAATGAAAAAACAAACAAACAAAAAAACAAAAAGCATTCAAGCAACAACTAGTATGATGAATAGAATAATATCACACATCTCAATACTACCATTGAATGTAAATGGACTATATGTTCCAATTGGATACATAATGGCAGAAAGGATAAGACTTCAACAGCCAAGGATCTATTATCTTCAAGAGATTCACCTAACATATAAGGACTCACATAAACTTAAGGTAAAGGGGTGGAAAAAGATATTTTATGCAAAATGAAACCAAGAACTAGCAGGACAAGCTGTTGTTATATCAGACAAAATAGACATTAAAGCAAAAACAGTCAAAAAAAAAAAGAGAGACATTATATAATGATAAAAGGACTAGTCCAACAGGAAAATATCACAATCCTAAATATAAATGCACCTAACACTGGAGCTTCTAAATTTATAAAACAATTACTCCTAGACCTAAGAAATGGCATAGATGGTCACACAATAATAGTGGGGGACTACAATATTCCTCTGACAGCACTAGATAGGTCATCAAGACAGAAAGTCAATAAAGAAACAGTGGACTTAAACTATATCCTAGAACAAGTGGACTTAACAGATATTTATACAACATTCTACTAAACAACTGCAGAATATACATTCTGTTCATCAGCACATAAAACATTCTCCAGGATAGACTTTATGGTAGGACACAAAACAAGTCTCGATAAATTTAAGAAAACAGAAATTTTATCAAGTACTCTTTCAGACCACAGTGGGATAAAATTAGAAATAAACTCCAAAAGAAACCCTCAAAACCATGCAAATAGACACAGATTAAATGATCTGTTCCTGAATGATTGTTGGGTCAACAATGAAATCAAGATGAAAATTAAAAAAAAACTTTGAACTGAATTACAATAGTGAAACAGCTTATTAAAACCTCTCAGATACAGCAAAAGTGGTGCTAAGAAGAAAGTTCATAGCATTAAGTGCCTCCATCAAAAAGTCTAAAAGAGCTCAAATAGATAATCAATAGTCACACCTCAAGGAACTAGAAGAAAAGGAACAAATCAAACCCAAGCCCAACAGAAGAAAAGAAATAACAAAGATCAGAACAGAACTAAATGAAATTGAAACAAAAAAATACAAAAGGTAAATAAAACAAAAAGATGGTTCTTCAAAAAGATAAACAAACTTGGTAGACCTTTAGTGAGATTAACTATAAAAAGAAGAGAGAAGATCCAAATAAAGTCAATTGGAAACAAAACAGGAGATATAACAATTGATACCACAGAAACATAAAAGATCATTCAAGGCTACTATGAACACCTTTATGCACACAAACAAGAAAACCTAGAGGAGATGGATAATTTTCTAAAAATATGCAACCCTCGTAGATTAAACCAGGAAGAAACAGAAACTTAGAACAGATCAATAGCAAACAATGAGATTGAAATGGTAACACAAAAATTAGCAAAAAATGTCCAGGACTAGACATATTCACAACTGAATTTTATCAGACATTCAAAGAATAATTGGTACCAATCCTATTGAAATTATTCCAAAAAACAGAGCAAGTGAAAATCCTCCCTAAATCATTTTATAAAGCCAGCATCACCCAAATACCTATACCAGGAAATAACATAACAAAAAGAAAACTACAGACCAATATCCCTGATGAACATAGATGCAAAAATCCTCAACAAAATTCTAGCTAACCAAATCTAAGAGCGGATTAAAAAATAACCAATAAAAATAAATGGTTTTATACCAGGAATGCAAGGGTGGCTTAGCATACATAAGTCAATAAATGTGATACACCACATAAACAGATTTAAAAACAAAAATCATGTGATCATCTCAATATATGCAGAAAAAGCAAGAGACAAAAAACTAGCATCACTTTATGATTAAAATCCTTAGCAAAATCGGCATAGAAGGAACATACCTTAAGGCAATAAAAGCCAAGGATGACAAACCCACAGCCAACATCATACTGAATGGGGCAATGTTGAAAGCATTTCTCACAAAAACTGGAACAAGACAAGTACGTGCACTCTCACCACTTCTTTTCAACATAGTACTGGAAATCCTAGCCAGAGCAATCAGACAAAAATAAATAAATAAATAAAGGGCATCCAAATCAGTAAAGAGGAAGTAAAATTGTTGCTGTTCACTGATGATATGATTGTATACCTAGAAAACATTAAAGACTCATCCAAAAAGCTTCTAGATCTGATTAATAAATTCAGTAAAGTTTGAAGGTACAAAATCAATGTACATGAATTAGTAGCACTGCTATATACCAACAGTGACCAAGCTGAGAATCAAATCAAGAACTCAACCCCTTTTATAATAACTGTAAAACATAAATAAATAAATAACATACTTAGGAATATACCTAACCAAAGAGGTGAAAGACCTCTACAAGGAAAACTACAAAACACTGCTGAAAGAAATCACAGATGACAAAATCAAGTGTAAACATAGCCCATGCTCATGGCTTGGTAGAATCAACATTGTGAAAATGACCATACTGCAAAAAGGAATCTACGAATTCAATCCTCATTGAATTAGTCATCAAAACACCATTGTGATTCTCCATCAAAACACCAATCCTCATTGAATTGGTCATCAAAACACCATTATGATTCTTCACAGAACTAGAAAAGACAGTGCTGAAATTCATATGGAACCAAAAAAGAGCCTGCATAGCCAAAGTGAGACTAAGCAAAAAGAAGAAATCTGGAAGAATCACATTTCCCGACTTCAAACTATACTATTAAGGCTATAGTCACCAAAACAGCATGGTATTGGTATAAAAATACACATATAGATTAATGCAAAACAACAGAGAACCCAAATATAAAGCCAAATTCTTACAGCCAAGTGAACTTTGACAAAGTGAACAAAAACATAAAGTGAAGAACGGACACCCTATTCAACAAATGGTGCTGGGATAATTGTCAAGCCACATGTAGAAGAATAAAACTGGATCCTCATCTCTCACCTATTGAAAACTCAACTCAAGATGGATCACAGATTTAAACCTAAGACCTGAAACCATAAATATTCTAGAAGATGATAAAATTGGAAACACCCTTCTTGGCTTAGCAAAGATTAGGCAAAGATTTCATGACCAAGAACACAAAAGCAAATGCAACAAAATGCAACAAAAACATAGATACATAGATGGGACTTAATTAAATTAAAAAGCTTCTGTACAGCAAAAGAAATGATCAGCAGAGTAAACAGACAGCCCACAAAGTAAGAAAAAAATCTTTGCAAACTATGTATCTATTAAAGGGCTAATATCCAGAATGTACAAGGAACTCAAATAATCAAGAACAAAACAAATGATTCTATCAAAAAGTGGGCTAAAACATGAGGAGAGAATTATCAAAAGAAGATGTACAAATGGCCAACAAGCATATGGAAAAATGCTCAACATCACTAATTATCAAGGAAATGCAAGTCAAAACCACAATGCAATACCACCTTACTCCTTCAAGAATGGCCATAATTAAAATAATAATAGTAATAGATGTTGGTTTGGATGTGGTGAAAAGAGAAAAATTTTACACAGCTGATGGGAATGTAAACTAGCCCAATCACTATGGAAAACATTATGGAGATTCTTTAAAGAACTAAAAGTGGATCTACCATTTGATCCAGCAATACCACTAATGGGTATCTGCCAAGAGAGAAATAAGTCATTATATGAAAAAGGCACTTGCACATGCATGTTTATAGCAGCACAATTCACAACTGCAAAAACATGGAACTAGCCTAAATGTCCATCAATCAACAAGCGGATAAAGAAAATGTGGTATATAAATGCCATGGAATACTACTCAGCCATTGAAAGAATGGCATTCACAGCAACCTGGGTGGAGTTGGAGACCATTATTCTAAGTGAAGTAACTCACGAATGGAAAACCAAACATTGTGGATTCTCACTTGTAAGTTGAAGCTAAGGTATGAGGATGGAAGGGCATACGAATGATACAATGGACTTTGGGGATTCAGGGTGAAGGGTGGGAGAGGGTTAGAGATAAAAGACTACACACTGGTGTAGCGTACACTGCTTGGGTGATGTGTGTATCAAAATCTCAGAAATGACCTCTAAACAACTTATTCATGTAACCAAACACTAACTGTTCCCCAAAGACCTATTGAAATAAGAACAAACATAAAAAAATATATAAAATAAAAATTTAGAAAATGAGCCTTAATACAACTGATATAAAACTAAAATTTGGTCTTTTTAAACTGAATTTTTTATATAGTATTAATAAAAGATAGTAAAATATTCACATTTTGATTAAACTGCAAAAAGAGAGAGTGATATGTTATCAAAAATTAAATATTAAGAATTAAGGTTTTGCTTTTCCTATGTAGCTTCCTTTACTTGCTTTTAAAAACTTATAATTATCACTTTGTTTAAATGGATGACTATTATTTTGCAATGACCTATGATCCTCTTTTGATCAAGTGTTTTAAACCTTTGATATATTTGACAGTCTTCCTAAAATCAAATTCCAAATTCTAAATTTAGTCTATTTGACCACAAGCTAACTTTTGGACAATCTAGAAGGGCCCGTGGAAAGAAAAGAGAGACTTATTAAACTAATTGGCTTACTTAACATGTTAAAATTATATGGAAAGCTTATCAAATAAGAAATGATGTTTAACTCTGAGTCATATTTGTATAAATTTGTTATTAATATTTGATCTGAAATGTATGAGATTCCTAGAAATCTGATAAGTCTTTGCGTAATGGCTAATATTGAGTGTCAACTTGACTGAATTAGGAGATGCCTAGATATCTGGTAAAGTATTGTTTCTTGGTTTGTCTGAAGGTGTGTTTAGAGGGGATTGACGTTTGAGTCAGTGGAATGAGAGAAAAAGACCACTCTCAATATGGATGGACACTACCCAATCAGTTGCCAGCATTGCTAAAACAAAGCAGGTGGAAAAAAGGGGTTAAGTAGCTTGCTGAGTCCTCTCACTCTCTGTCTCTTTTCAGGCCAGACACTTGCTTCCTCTGCTCCTGCTCTTAAACATCAGACTCCAGGTTCTTAGGCTCTGGACTCTGAGACTTTCGTCAGTGGTCTTCCACTTGGGCCTTTGGCATCAAACCAAGGGCTGCACTGTCGGCTTCCCTGGTTTTAAGGCTTTCAGAATTGGACAGAGCCATGCTACTGACTTGCTTCTCTCTTTGCCCAGCTTGTAGACAGTCTATTGTAGGTCTTTGCCTTGTAATAATGTTAGCCAACTCTCCGAAATAAACTCCCTTTTATATATATACATATATCATATTGGTTCTGTCCCTTTGGAGAATCTTCACTAATGTACTTGGTATACATTATCAGTCATAACTCTAATGTAAATTTGTTGTGTGCTATAAAAATAACCAAATTTCCATGTTGATTATATTATTGTTATAATGAATTCTCATCAGGCTTTTAAGAATGTCCATTTTAAGTCTTGTGCATAGTAAATTGCTTTATTCTGATGCATTTCTCTTAAAACTTGTTACAAATTTTAAAGTATTGTGTTTTCTAGAAGGTATGTAGGAAAATAATTTTAATATTCTCATAAGTACAGGTTTCTAACATGTTTGAATTTATAGGATTTGACTAAATTTCCAGAATTCTAATAAAAAAGAAACAAAAACTGGACCCATAAAATTTCTATCCCAACACTAAGCAGAATAAGAATTAATTACATAACATTCAATTGATAAAGAAACTATATTTTAATAATGTTTTATTGAAAACATTGCTGATTTTTTAAATGATTTGCTTTTCAAATGGAGGGAAACATTTTTTAAACTATATATAGCTTGTAGCAAATTGAAAAAGCATACTTTTGTGAGTAGAACTGAATTATTTACTTTCATCCTAACTAATTCTTTCAGAATTTGAAAACTATTTATAAATATTCTTATTTTATGACAATATAGTAATTTTCATAAGTTCAAAAATATCTTCTCTTTATAACAGGACAATTGGGGACACTGGTGGTACTATCAAGGCTTTGACTGGAATGTTATATTTCACATATGACCAGTTGGCTTTCAGAAACTGAGGTTGGATTTATGAAGCCAATTAAAACCTTTGAAAACCTGGTCTGGTATTTTGTCTAGACAGGCTGGCCTTTTAGTAAGTGAAGAATGTCAGTTTTGACATGCCCAGGATTTTAAGTTATTTGGGGACCTCAAGAAAAGAGGTATTCAACCAACTGATATACGTAATATAGGCACAGTGATGTTACATTTTTGCTTTGGCTTATTAGCCTCAAATGGCTTTTCCAAAAGTGTAGTCTGAGGTTTCTTATGAAAACCTCTCAACAAAGCTAACTTTAAAAAGAGCATATATTATCAATCACCAATCTTGCTACACTTACATAATCAGTCCAAAAGTGAAGCTCATTTAGCAAACACGCCATTCTGACAGTGACCATCTTTGGTTAAACTATGGGGGATTTAGAGAAAAAAATGTTTTAGACAAAACCTATAATGCATCCATTATTAGATTCTATATCTTTTTTTTAGGTTTGTTATTTACCTGCAATTTGGACTGAATCTTGAATTATTTACTGTCTTTGAGAATCTAAACCAAGGTTTTCAATTATTTGCCTCTTCTTCTTCTTCTTTTTTTTTTTTTTTTTTGAGATGGAGTCTCACTCTGTCGTCCAGGCTGTAGTGCAGTGGCATTATCTAGGCTCACTGCAACCTCTGCCTCCCAGGTTCAAGAGCAATTTCTCCTGCCTCAGCCTCCCGAGTAGCTGGGACTACAGGCGCCCACCACCAAGCCCAGCTAATTTTTATATTTTTAGTAGAGACAGGGTTTCACCATATTGGCCAAGCTGGTCTCAAACTCCTGACCTTGTGATCTGCCCACCTCGGCCTCCCAAAGTGCTGGGATTACAGACATGAGCCACCACGCCCAGCCCTATTTGCCTATTCTTCTTTTTTGGAATCACTGGAAATTAAAACTGCCTTTATCTTGAGGCCCTACAAGCCAAAGCAACACAATTTGGATTTGAAGAAAAATCACCACAACAGCTTACATTTGGACAAACTTAATAACATGTAAACTGCAAACTAAAAGAATCTTTCAGATAGACACTGCCTGCTTCTGCTCGAATTGAAAATGAACCTCAAATGCGAAATCTAGACATTTTCTCTACTACTGGACACAGAAACCACTTAATAAACTACTCCAAATATTACTCTTTGTTTTATTTTCATTTCCATAGAAATGCCTCTTACTAAAACCTGTTTGCCTAGACCATATAGTGGCCTAGCTTTCAGAGACGATCTGCAATGCCATCTTCTAAAATGAGCACACTGTTTTAATTGGACTGACCTATACCTAGGAATGAGAGACTGGCTTAATTGGATACTTCGCACTCGGCTATTAACTCTATTGTCTGCACAGCTACCAATTTAGGGTTTGTTTGTTTGTTTGTTTTTGACAGAGTCTCGCTGCTCTGTCACCCAGGTTGGAGTGCCCTGGTGCGATCTCGGCTCACTGCAACCTCCGCCTGCCAGGCTCAAACAATTATCCTTTTCCCCATCTCCCTTACCCCTATGTAGCATTGTGTATAAGCATGTGGGCATCATTGGGTTATTGGGTAATCATTTTTCTGAAATTATCCTATGCTTATGCATATTAAATAAATGTGCATACCTTTTTCTTCTGTTAATCTGGCTGCTATCAGTTAACATTCAGTAAACCTTTAGAGGGCAAAAGGAAAGCTTTTCCCCTTTAAATAAACCATTATCCAATTCTGCGATAAAACAGTTCGTGTCATTGATGAATGAGTGAAGTTCCAACATGCACCTTTATTGTTTCATTGTTGTCTCATTCATTAACCTAAACAAAAATGTCAACCAACATTCATGGCAAAAGTACACTCATTTGTCAATTATAATAAGTAGGATATGGCAACAAGAGTTCAACAAAAATTTCAAAAATATTCTGTAATAATCAATTGGCAATATGAATTTACAGTAAAGTTTTTTCTTTATTACTTTGCATTGTGTGCTACATATCTTTTATGTTAGTAAAATTATATATATATATACACATATATACTTCTTTTCCAGAAACTGATTGTTAAACACTTACAAGTAAATAATTGAGTATAATTGTACTGTTCTACTTATATAATGGTTGCGATTTATTTCATGAGATTATTTTTAAACGGTATAGCTATGTTTAATGCAAATATAAGACTTATTAAGATAAATGGGCTTAAAAATTAAACCAAAAGGTAAATATTTTTTATAGATCACTCTTTTAAGGTGTACTACCCAGATAGAGCCTGAATTCCTTACTATTATCAGCCCCAATTTATTTTAATAATGATTTCATAGCTAGAATTGATTATTAGACTTGTTTGATTATTAAATCAGTTTGGACTACCTGAGGTAATTCAATGGATGGTCTTAGTTTATCTTTCTAGCATTGTAATTAAATCGTGTGTGTGTGTGTGTGTGTGTGTGTGTGTTATGGTGGGTAAGAGAGAGAGAGAAAATGATAGAGAAAGGGAAAACAAAGCAACAAAAAGTATTATTTTTTAAACATCAAGCACAAGTCATTTATGACTGTGCCCCTAATCTGAGGGGAGCCATTTCCCACTTTTTAAAAGTGATAAACATGTTTTTTTCTCCTCATATCATTAATTAATTCTTTTTCTAAATGGTTCTTAAAATTTAAATATAATAGCACATTTATTAGCAGTAAAAATTACCTTAAAAACTAGCTACTCTTTGAAAACTGCCTTCTTAGAAGTCATCAAAAGTCTTTCATTTTAAAAGAATCCTGCTTTAAAATAAGCTTAAATAGAAAACCTAACAAGGTCTTTAAAAATGATTTAAAGAAATTTCATCTATCACAAAGGCTTATGATTGCTTTACTTTATTCTTTGTAGAAGATTCTACATATGAGTGTGAGAAAGATGAATTATACCTCTGTATGCATGGGAAATACCTTGATCCACTAAATCCATAGTATAGGGAAGCAATTTATAAGAGGGTTTCACTATTCTGGTTTTCTATTATCATCAGAATATTGTAATCTTTCTGAAGTGTCTCTGGCATTCTCTATGCGACATCTTTAAATCTACCATCACAGTATCTGTCTTTGTCTTCCTTTTATTTGAAAAGCAAATAAACTACCAATTGTTTTTTAATTAATATGATCAATGATATAAAGCTCTTCATTTAGTTTCTATCTGTGTGGAAACTCACCCACAGCATCTTTTGCTTTCATGTGATTCCAGAAGCAAATTTTATAATAAAGTTTCCCTACAGGTTTTAAAATGATCAAGTTTATATTCTACCTGATTTTCATTGTACTTTATTTCTCCCTATATAATTGGAAAAAGATATTAGAAGATACATTGATTTTATCTGCCTCTATATAGGAAGTCTATAAACCAGATGACTGAAAAGAACAAAACGGAAAACACTTAAACTTCACTGATTATCAGAATCAGGAAAACAATGGTTTAGGAAATAATAGCATTCTGCAATCCACTGAAGACATGCTGAATCAGTTTCTTCTAGGTCTGGAAACAAGAAATTTATTTTTTCTCAGCTGTTGAATTATTCCGATGTAAACAGGTTTAGTGCTTAAATTTGGAAATCAGTGTCATAGATGAGTGGTTGTCAAAATGTTGTTCATAGACCAGCAGCATCAGCATCACCTAGGAAAATGTTAGAAATGCAAATTCTTGGGCCCCATCACTCAATCGCTGAGGATGGGACACAGGTGGTTCTGATGCATGCTGATGACTGAGAATCACGGTACAGAATATACTGATGCAGGATTTTCTGCTCCTTAGCTCACCTAAATCCGGGATCTTGTCTCATCACCAGGAAGTAGTAGGCACACGGACACAATGAAGGGGGGTGAGGGCAGAATTTATTAAGTGAAAGGAAAGCACTCAGTAAAGAGAGGTGTCCTGCACACAGGCTTCCACCTCACAAATTTGAATACCAGGCCACCACGCATGAGTTGCAAAGGTAAGGCTCCTCCCCCACAAAAGGTGCAAATTCCTGGGGGTTTGACCCTATTCTCTCAGGGTGCATGCCGACCCTTAGTCTGAGCCACTCCACATTGATTTATTTCCATTACTGTGCATGTGTTAAGGGATGGAATTTTTGAGTGTGGGCATATTTAGGCAACCCCCATGTGTGGAATGATTTGGGCAGGTTGGAGGTTCTTTGAGGGCCCTTCCCTATCTGCTAGGCATTTGTCAGCTTCCTGCCTCTATCATTCCCGCTTCTAAAGAGGTACATCTGACTGTGTTAGAATACGGATGAAGACTGATCTTAACTGCTTCCTGCTGACAGGGGGCGCTGTTTTGGGAAGATGGCAGTCATGTCTCCCTCAGAGGCCTATCTAAGGGTCCCCAGTAAAAAGAGCCATCATCAGAGGCATTGTTTGCATGACCATTTAGAGTTTGGTGGCCTGAAGGTGAGAAGAGACAAACTGGGTTATTAGAATACATGTATCAAAACGAAACAAAAAGGGGTGGGTAAGGACAGCTCAAAAATCCCAAGACTGATGGCACACCCAGATAGCTGGTGGCTACAGTTATGCCTGCCAAGATTTGGGTGCATGGGACTTGGCTTTGATTAGCTCCCTTGGTCTTATTTTCCCGTATAAAGAAACCTCCGGGTTATGGACAGCCTATTTACTCGTATCACCTTGCAGGGTTTGTAGGATAATTGCCCAGAACTAGAATATTAATCCAGACTTTTACATTACGCATCCCTTCTGTTTCTTCTGAACTGCAGCTAGACATCACTGGTTGATCCATGAAATAAGCAGGGTTAGTTCAAAATGTGGGTAAAAAGCTTAAAAACAACTGAGTCTAGAATTTAATGACAAATGTATGGTAAGTTTTGAAACTTATCATACAGTGGCATGCTCTCAGCTCACTGCAACCTCCACCTCTCCAGTTCAAGTGATTCTCCTTCCTCAGCCTCCCTAGTAGCTGAATTACAGGTGCACGCCAACATGCCCAACTAATGTTTGTATTTTTAGTAGAGACAGGGTTTCTCCACGTTGGCCAGGCTGGTCTCAAAATCCTGGTCTCAAGTGATCCTCCCGCCTCAGCCTCCCAAAATCCTGGGATTACAGGAGTGAGCCACCATGCCTGGTCCATTCTGTTAACACTTGTTCTGTTTGATATTTCTGAACATTTCAGCTATTCATTAATCCTGTATGTTTTTCCTTATTCCAATGTCATAATCTCCAAAGTTATCAGAAACCTGAATTTGAGAGCACCTGTCGAAGTCTTATAGCTGATTATAAATCATCTTTTGAAGAGGATCAAGATGAGACAATTGTCTGTGAATAACAAAATGTCCAGGGTAGTTACAATTAAATACACAATTGACAAGAAATTTGGTTATCACTTTGGTTTACAATAATTTAACCTTAATTATGATTGATAGCAGCATATACTCAGACATTCGAATTTTAGAAATCCCATATAATTTTGGAACGTATATTAATATTATTCACTAAAATGTAACCTGAAGAAGACTGAACATCATTTTAGTAATCTCACGTAACTAAACTTGTCAAATAATTCTGTTTACCTCTCTTTTGGATGCTCCAAGAGCCCTCTGTAGCATCCAAAAGCCAGGGGTCAGGAAAGACAACCCTGAAGCTAAAATTTGATTTTGAGAAGCCTGTTTAATGTTAGAGTTTTAAAACATTTAATGTCATGAAATAGAATTCCAGATTACCATGAATTAGTTATTTTGCCAAAATGATGACTCAAAAATTATAAAACAAGGTAAAAACCTTTACTCATTAAAAGGGAAAACAGCTTTGCAAACAATTTGTCTCCTTTCTTCTCTTTCTTTGTCTTGGCAGTTTATCTGCAAGGCAAATGGAAATTTTTCACTATTATTTACTATTACATGAAAATCTTGTACAAGGGAGAGAAAGCCAAATTTTACCCTTACATTAGTTTACTATTAATGTCAACCCCAATTTTTTAAATGAAACATTATAGGCAATTCTATCCAATCTTAACCAGTTTGACTATGAGGTAAGATTCTTATAAGCCTTTCACAACCCTTTACAAATTTTGCTGAAGAGCAGATTAGTGCCTTAAGGAAACCTTGTTGTGCTTTTATTTCAATGCACAATTTACAGAAAAATCATATAATACCCGTTTGAATTTAGCTAATATGTTCACACACAGACTTTCTTTTCCAAGATTAGTTTTTACAATCCCTCCACAACTTGTTTAAACCTTCAGTTTTATCTCATCTAATTCAAAACAATCCTTTAACCCTAGGCAAAAAATTACATTTCTATACCTTCTTATAATTTTTTACTAAAAAAACACATTTTACTGTCCTTACACACCTTCCATGTAAATCCATTTTCAGTGGTCTCAATTACATATTATAATGTTAACTCTCAGCAATTTTTAACTTTAATGTAAAATCTGGTAAGTTGTTTTAATTACGCACTAGGTGCCAATAAAGTTTGAATCCTATCAGCATAGTTAAGGGAGTGGTTAATTCCATATGGCTCCAGGCCTTACCAAGTTGTAAAGCAGGCAAGTCGAACAGTTATCAATGCCAAAGAAGCAGTTTACAACCATAAAACACTTAGCAAACCTAGTATCTGACCTGCCTAAGTTAGACCACCTTTTTTATTTTAATGACATTTGCATTTTACCAATAATCTTTAAGACTGTTTTTATTTCTCAAAGAATAAAGTTACGTGAACTAAAAGGTATTACAGCTTTCACCTTTCCTTCAAAAAATAGTTGATTTAAGTGTTTCGTTTTCTTTAAGCCAATTAATTAGAGCTCTTTTTTATAGACAGTATACACAACACATATATAACTACACAGACAGATAGAAAAAGATCCAGTAGTTACAAGATTTTTTGTTTGCCAATCTCCTAATTGGATTATTGGCATCCACGTGGAGCCCTTTAAGAGCAAGGCTAGGAAAACATGCAGTTTCTAGGGCCCAATAAGCAGGTATAGCTGAAAGACAAAAACAGATGTTGAGAGTCATGTATTTGCTGTCAACCAATTCCTGTGGTTCCCTAAGGAAAACAGGTTTTTCCCAAAGTGGAATCCATGGTGCCTTTTCTGTTTTTCCCAGGGATTCCCAGGCCATCAGAAGTTATCTTAGGGCCTCACATGTGTACATTATGAATGGCAACACAAAGTGGAGAAAAGTAATTCAGTCGACTGAGAAAAAAACCTCTTTTCAGAAAAACAAGATCCAAGAAGAGAAACAAATGTAAAGGTCTTTTAAACATGCCTATAACTTGAATATCCACTTTTAATTAAGCCAAGCTCTCTTTAAGTCCATTTAAATCACTTATTACCTGACTTTAGACATGCAAAGTGGCCAATATTTCCGGCTTTTGAACTCTACCAAAGGTAGCCTCCCAGGTGCCCAGGGGAAGGAAAATTCAAGATGGTTCATGGAGGGGAGGAGAATCGACAAATGGTAAATGTCACACAGATATCAAACCGGAAAGGACTCCTTACCTATGCTGAGAATTGAACTTGGGCCACCACTATGAAAGAACAAAGCCTTAGCTACTGAGCTATAGCACTGGGCAGTCTTCATTCCCTTTCCCAGAAGGAGTCTAGAGTAGGTAATTTTGGGTTTGCAAAGACTTTTAACTACTTAATAATTTTTAGAGAGAACTATGCCATGAACCCCAAAATTCCTGTTCCCTGGAAGGTGTAGACCAAGAAGAAGTACCACCATGTGATTACAAGGTCAAGTTCCTCAGGACATAAAACAAGATGGAGACTTCATCCAGTTTGTTTGTTTGTTGAACTGTGGCAAAGTTTGTTGCCGACCAACCAGCTTGCTGGGTCATTTTGAACAGCAAGCTTATGGGGTCCTTAGCCTGTGTTCTATCCTAAGGAACCCCTCTTAATGACAGAATGACACAGAAAGACAAATTTATAGCACAAAATAAACCAGATTCACTACAGCTTAAGATCAACCTCATAAATCCTTTTTCATTAATGAAAACTTTACAGAGGATATAAACAGTGATCCTTACCATTCCTTGTACTGGTTTGCACAGGGAGAGAGAGGCCAAAAGTCTGACTTGTGAAAAAAAACTTTTACCCCTTTGCTGGCCTGTCAGACTTCTGGGTTCCCTTCCCGTAAACTCAATTCTAAGTCAACCAGTTTAAGGTTTGGCAAATTAACTTTCCCTAGTTTGGAGGATTCATCTGAGGGGAGTATCTTGTAGTACAGGGACAAAATTACCCATCTGTAAAGAGAGGACAGAAAAGGAAAAAGGAAAAAAGAAGGCATCTTTTTTTTCAAAGGAGTCAAAGGGGTTCAGGATGCATTCGAAAGTGGTACAGACTGAAAATGGATTGACTACTCATATAGAAAGAGGGGAGCCAGGCATCCCTGGTTCCTTTTTCTTCCTAGCAAATACCCATGATACATGAGGGAGAAAAGGAAAAGCATCCTCTTTCCTTCTTCCATCCTTATATCCCCGAGTCTTGGTGATCTCGACAGGGTGCTGCCATGGGTTTCAGAGTGGCTTTCACCCATGCTAACCGGGGGTCTAAGAGTGGGATCATACACTCTGACCCATGTGTTGCCTTTTCCCTCTGCTGTCAGTAGTCTTCAAGTTCCCTAGACCTCATTAATACCATGGATACTAGCATGAGCTTTATCCATGAAATGGGAGGCTTGGCTTAATCGGCAGGAATTAGTCATGCTTACCTGCACTGTGCATTTTAACTTCAGTTGTCATCTGCCTCCGGATCAATCAGATCCAGTTTTCTTTCCTAGATTTTCAACCTGAATCTTGGAATTGAGTTTGGGACAAAGCAATTGCCTTGGGGGTACATAAACTCTTCAAGCCCCAGGTGTCCCTTGCCAGACTGACTGTTGCCTCCTCAAATAAGGGAGATAAATGGGTGTCTTGTAAATGTAAATAGGGGTCCTGACCTAACAAGATGTCTTCCAAAGGACAAAAAAAAAACAAAGAAACAAAACCTCTCGCATAAAAGCTAACTCCTGACAGAGTGAAGAAAAGAAAAAAAACATCTTAAGTCTGGGGCAGGGAAGATGACTGAGTGATAAAACTTTTTTTTTTTTTTTTGAGATGGAGTCTTGCTCTGTTGCCCAGGCTGGAGTGCAGTGGCATGATCTTGGTTCACTACAACCTCTGCCCCCCAGATTCAAGTGATTCTCCTGCCTCAGCCTCCTGAGTAGCAGAGATAACAGGTGTGTGCCAACACGCCCCACTAAGTTTTGTATTTTTAGTTGAGATGGGGTTTCACCATGTTGGTCAGGCTGGTCTCGAACTCCTGACTTTGTGATCCACCTGCCTCAGCCTCCCAAAGTGCTAGGATTACAGGTATGAGCCACCACACCGGCCTAAGATCCTCTTATTCTTATGCAAATAGGTTACTCCAACAGAGAGAAAAACTTTTAATTGCTGTTGTACTGAGCTGGACCCCTGGGCTGGAGGAGGGGACGGCTCCTTGGATGTGAAGCAGAGAATGCTGGTTTGCCAGCCATGTGGGGCCTGTGGCCCCCGAGACTGCCCTGAGGCCCAGGCAGTGGCTATGGCTCAGTTACGCCCTACATGGCTGTTTGATGCTTCACGCACAGCAGACACTGCCATGCATGCCAGCTGGGAGAGGAGGGGGAGCAGGAAGGGGCTGTTTGCCCATCCTTCCTGCTTGTGTGCCTGTGGCTGTTGGGGTGGTGGTGGAACACCCCTAATACCGTAAAAGAAAATATAAATGCCATTGCAGTCCTGAAAAAAAGAAAGAAAATGCCATAGAAAAGACTCAGTTGCACTGAGGCCGACATTCCTGAACCCTGAGAGCGACGTGGAAGGGCAGTTTCCCTGCCCTCGGACTAAGTCTAAGGTTGAAGAAGCTTAGAAATGAAAGGGAAAGAGATTTTTGGGTCCACATTTTACTTACCCTTCCTCATGGCCCTGTACAGGCCACAGAAATGATGCAGGATTTTCTGCTCTTTAGCTCAGTTAAATCCGGGATCTTGTCTCATGACGAGAAAGAAGTAGGCATGTGGACACAATGAAGAGTGAGGAGGATGAAATTTATTAAGTGAAAAGTAATCAAAGTTGAATACCAGGCCTCCACACACAGGAGCTGAAGAGACCAGGCTCCTCGTCAACATAAAGCACAAATTCCTGGCGGCTCCTCCCCATTCTTTTAGTGCCCATGCCGGCCCTAAGTCTGAGCCACTCCATATTGATTTACTTCCCTTATTGCACATGTGTTAAGGGATGGAATTTTTCGCTGTGGGCATGTTTAAGAAAGCCCACTGTGTACAACGACCTGGGTGTGAAGGAAGTTCTCTGGGGAGCCTTCCCTATCTGCTAGGCATTTGTCTGCCTCCTGGCTCTATCAATACCCATACAAGATAATCAACTTTTGGTTAGCATAGTGTACCTTACATATTTGGTACCTTATTGATAATTTTAATATTCACAAATATTAAATATTCATAGAAGCTACTCTGTATCTTTCTTCTCTAAAGTGTAGTTTTTATTATTTTTTGTTGCTCTATAAAATCTTTGGGTGCAGTTAATTTTCAAGAAAATTATTCTTCAATGAGTATAGGTAAGATGAAAAGACCATTCATTCTTAAGAAAAAGAAATCCTGATCTCTGCAGAATCATAACTGGAATCTAGCAGACTTTTTTTTTCTGTGAACTTGTGTAGAGAAGTATCTAGCAGACTGTTTTCACAAAGAGAGCCCTAGTCTGTCATGATTTTGGTCAAGGAACTAAAGCTGCAAAGGAATTATTATAACATTTATTGGATAATTATTGTATAAAAATAAATGAGCAGTTGATAAAAATTTTTTCTATAACCCAAGTTTTATGAGATTTCATCAGATATCAAATTCATATTTATTAATACTTACACAAATCATTTTATTCAGTTTCCTCAAGAAATGTGTGGCACCTCTGATATAATTAATTAGAAAGATTCTTTCAATTTTAAGGAGAACGAGCTTTTAAAATGAAGCAGCATAATTTTTTTTGTTTGTTTTGACCCTCATGCTTTTTATGCCTTTCTTACCTTTATCAATTTAAAATGTTGAAAACTTGTCTTAATCCTTATGTATTTGTTCCTAAATTCTCACTAGAATTAAAAATCAGTGACTTTTTAAGGCATAGAAGACAATGTAAAGATCATCCAGTCCAACTCCTTGTTTCATACATGAATAATCAAATTAAAGATAGGTACAGTCCATAAATTGCACATAATTCAGTATCTTAAAACTGTTAGTATTAATAATAATATGAGGACAATAGTGAGGTGAAGAAGAAGGACAAGTACACTGGCTTCTAGAAAGGTATTGGGGATAATTTTAGTACAGTTTTCTGTTTGCATTCAGACATAACTAAACCGTTTACTTTCATATTTTATTACTGGAGCCACATAAACAGAGGGCGAAACAATTTCGTAAAAACTCAAATTTGAGATCATAGAACATGTTAAAGATATTTGGTAAATGAGACTCTTTAAAAGTGAACGCTTCCCTCATCTTTTCAAACTAATTTATATTGCAACTTTGGAAATATGTTTTAGAAAATCTCAGAAATCCTTCCTGAGATTAATTTCTTTTTTTGTTCCAATATCAAATGAAAAGTAATTTTCAGCTCTAAATTTCCACTTATCGCTTTCCTTTGTTTTCTGTCCTTTATCAACTTTTCAATTCAATAGTTCATTTATCCTCCTTTTCATGATTCCATACCCTTGACATTAACCTTTGATGTGTAAGCCTGATGAATGCTTTCTGAAAAAACATGTAACATTATTTCAAAGTGTGTCTACATTGCAAAAGTGTCTTCAAATATGTTCAGTGTTTTTCAGTCACAATCTTCAGTTGTGAAAGCATTTTCGTTGTTGATCAAACTATGTTTCTTATCCCAAAATGTTCCTCAGTTGATGCTTGCTTTTTTTAAAGGCTTGAGAATTTCTCTTTTAGTTATGTCAAGCTGATTGAGTTACAACCAAAATGAGGTCTTTTTGGAGTAAGTGAAATAAATGTTTGTGGCTTCACTTCAAATATAAATAGACCTTAAAAAATCCATCGTGCCATTTAGGCTAATGTGAAGGTATGTTCATGTATATAGTTAGGTATTCAAAGATAGTCACTCACGTTTACATATATTTTGAGAAAGTATACACTTAAATTTTTATATATACCTCACAAAATATCTACCTCTTTTTAATATATTAAATATTACAATATTAAACATTAACAATCTTCTACAATATTAACATAAATGATATATAACTTAACAGATTATTGCATAATAGCAAGTTCACTTTAAATCATATTAGTGTAGCTTAGATAGAAATTTGAGCTTAAACAGAAACTGATTTCAGTACATAATTACCAACAATTCTCTTGTACTTGAACTGTTCCCTGAGTGTAAATTAGGTTGTAAACAAGATAGCTCTGTTAGAGGAACCCCTAAGTACCAGGCCTCTGGTTTAATAAATAGCCACATTCCAAGCTGACAACCACTTATAATTACAGAATAATTGTGGACATACAGAGCATCTCCCACCAAGCCTGCCAAGTGTCCAGATGTCCTAAGATGTAGCCTTCTGTACTTAAAGACAAATTAATGAGCAAGCTTAGGTTAAAAGATTAATAGTCATCAATATGGTCATTGATAACACCAATAGCCCCTACCTTTAGTGAGCGTGTAGACACATTCCAAGTTTAATTATATATCCTTATAGATTCTTTTAAGTAGAGGCACTAACAAAAGATGGGGTATTCCTCTTCTTACTTTCTGAGGACTCCCCACTTTGTATCAGAATAATTTCTAATAAAATTTCTTCTTTCACTGTGCTCTGTGACTTGGTCTGAATTCCTTCCTGCATGAGATCCATGAACCTGCTCTTGGGGACTGAATTGGGACCATGTTTTTAGGCAACACCTCTAGAAACAGCACTAACTAATTTGTGAGCACATTAAAGCAGAGTGGTTTTTCTTTTTTCTTTTTTTTTTTTTTTTTTTTTGAGGCGGAGTCTGGTTCTGTCACCCAGGCTTGAGCATAGTGGCATGATCTTGGCTCACTGCAAACTCTGACTCCCAGGTTCAAGCAATTCTCCTGCCTCAGCCTCCTGAGTAGCTGGGATTACAGGTGCATGCTTCCATGCCTGGCTCATTTTTGTATTATTAGTAGAGACGGGTTTCGAGAGGCTGGTCTCGAATTCATGACCTCAGATGATCCGCCTGCCTTGGCCTCCCGAAATGCTGGGATTACAGGCACAAGCCATCACGCCCAGCCAAAGCAGAGTGTTTTTGCAGCGAGTCTCATAGAACTGTATCCTTCTATTGGAGCCTGTTAGGATTTTATGGGATACTTACAAGTAGCAGTGATAATTCAGTTTTGAAATTTGAATAAAAACCAAATCACTTCAGCTATACCCTAGCCATAGACTGACACAGGTATAAAAATATTTACCTTCTGTAGGTTCATCTCTGCACAATTTCTCAATTAATGAGAGTAAAACCTTGAGGTTTTTTTTCATGAATACACAAGAGTTTTGAATGAGATCATGGCCTCAATCTCAGGGCATCTGAAGTCATAATCTGTGCATATGCCGCAGACAGCCTTCTGTCTAACTTCTACTGGGTATATTTAGTTTAACCAACTGAGCTTCTATCTTAGTTTGTGCTTCCCAGTTCCCTAAATTACTAATTATCTCCCAGGGCATTGATTTATCTTTTCTACAGCAGGAATCTTTTTCCTGTACCATCTGTGACAGTTCTTTCCGGAAATACAGTCATTTTTCACACTTAAAACTGAAAAACCAAAACAAGTCAGAGAAGCCTAGAATCCTTTTGGCCTATCCTTTAGCCCTTTATTGCAACCATGTTCTTCATTTTTCCCACACTCCTTTTGAACCATTTGTATAATGATATTAAACTGGATGGGAATTCATTTTCTGCAGCCCCTGCAGATTAAAATCTGCAATGTTAGTCACTCCTTGTGAGAATACAGCCAAACTGTTCCTGGATTATTCTCTTTTTCAAGCACATAGATATATATGTAATCCCCAAGTTCTAAGCAGAAGGAACTGGGATACAATACCTGGCACTTTACATGCAATGTGTCATTGAATTGATCAATAACGCTATGTAGGTAGGTGTGTTTGTCTGTTATATTTTCGAAATGAGGAAACCAAGACCTGGAGATGTGAGGTAATTTGCCCAAAGTCCACAGATACTAAATGGAAGATATCGGATTCAGACTTATATTTTGGGATCCAAAAATCCATGTCCTTCTTATATATGACACTCAGCCTTATGAGTTATAAAAATCTGTATATAGAAAATATGAAATGGCGAATCTTCATACCTCTCCTCAATCTATTGAACATTCTAATTATACTAATATTCATTTGGGGCTGCTGTTATTATAATTGTTATTGTTTGAGGAAACGAAACGGGATATTGGATTTAATTATTTCAGTATTGTAATGAGAGAGCCAAACTTGAGGACACAAAGCAAAGAAGGATAACATATACAAATGATCCGAACAGAGCAGGCATATTGTTATTCTCTATTACCACATGAGCAATTACATAATACTTACACCTGGAAAACCAAGAGCCCCCATACTTCCCATACCTCATGATGTTCCCTTGGGTGTTAGGAAATGATGTGTTATGCTGTAAACTCTTTCTTGAATGTAGACCTTTGATTTCCTAATCTTCTTTAGGAAATCAAAAAGAGATTCTACGACAAACATTTATCCATTTTGTGGATACTGAGCTTTATTTCTTATTTTGTTAGTAGCCCAAAATATTTTGAACACAGAATTAGTAACTCATCACCTCTCAAAGAGTCAGGCATATGAAAGAAGTATAGCAGTCTGTCCGATAGGGCTCTTTTTAAGTTGGTAATTTGGTTACAGTTGCAAAGAACTTTCTATATAAACCAGCAGCTAGTCAGTGGCTTTGGTCATACTGATTCAATAATTTTGACTAGGTTACTGAATTATTATTTGCTCAAATTCAGCAGGTTATATTGAAACTCCTTTGTGAGTAAATACACAGCTTTTGAAAACAGGTTAATAGTGAATTTGGTAAATATAATAATTGCTATATTTATATAGGTGCAATGTTAAAAGAAAATAATGGTTCTTAAAGATCAAGATTGAGTACTGAGTAGAAAAGTTTTATTTCCAACCTGGAAACCAATCCAGCACAGTATAAATAAGCTCTAGAGCTAGGAGATAGTACTTAGGAAGGAGGAATGGAACAGGTTTTTAAAAGCCAAAACCCATCTGCCTTTCTTCCTGAATAAAGCAATCTAAAAGCCATTAGGTGGGGCCAAACAAGGCTGTCATCTGTGCAATTTTGAGAGTGAGAGAAGAGCCATGCAGAGATCTGACAGACTATTGGGATCCATGCATGGGGACAAGGACATAATGGTACTGGGTACTGATGCCACATGCTGGGCCATTTGGTATCATAATTTGATGATCAAATTATGGCCATTTGGTATCAAATTATGATACCAAATGGCCCAGCATGTGGTATCCGTACCCAAGTGGGCAAACAGGCTGGAACGTGTGGTGGGTGGACAAGGGATAAAACGTTAGAAGCAGTGATTGGTGATTACTTATACAGAGAGCAGATTAAGCAAACAAGTAAGTATATTTAAGATAACAGAAGTCATAATTTTCACTGTCAGAAAAGGCAGTCACAGATATGAAAAGGCAGAACATTAGAATGAACACTGTGGTTTTATATTGAAATTAAAGTTATTGGCATAAACTCTAATCATTTTCAATATATAAAGAGATGGAGTAGAGGTAGATAAAAGTTTAGGTACGTGTGAGTTTGCACATACATATATTTCCTATCTTTGTCTGGGAACGGTGCTACCTAATAGCAGTGAGCATACCTGCACCCAGATCTTGCTTTCTAAATGCCATTGTCCACTGGCAGAAAGAAGGGCTTATTAGAAAAAATGGCCAATTTCAAAACTGAGATGGGGTTAAAAAAAAAACAAGATGAGCCTGGAACATTGCGTTACGCTAGAAAGCAAAGAAGTACTCAAATAATGATGGGAACATGTCAAGAGAATATAGGAGCCAGTTTGAAGGAGCTTCACTGCCAAATTAGGTATAATTTGAGCATCAAAATAAATAACGATAATAATAAATTTAACCCATTGAATATTCATGAGCCCATAGTGATATAAATAAATAAATGAATAAATTAATCAGAGAGGGAAAAATCTCTTTTTTAACAGTAGAAGATCAACTAGTGAAAATGTAGACATAATATTGGAAGTGAAAATCACCTTTTTATTGCCATGATATTAATAATTATTTCAGCCCCAATTTTAAAGCTGGTGGAGAAAGTTTTCAAAACGGATCTTTCCACAGTATTAATGCATCTCCCCACAAAACACCTGTTTATTACAAAAGCAAACAAGTAACTTTGCAGTGGAGAAAACTGGCAGATATCACCTCAATCAAGTAAGTAAAAGGAACATTATCAGGAATGGGATAAATCAAAATTCTGTGCACTGAAGATGAACTAAGAAGAATGAGAAAAATATGACTTCAGTAATTTTTCAGCCAAAAATGTATAACTTGAATCACACAAACCCAAATTAAGGGACTGCATTAGTCTTCTAGGGCTGCCATCACAAATTTTCAAACCTCGATAGCTTAACTCAGAAGAAATTTATTCTCTCACAATTCTTAAGGCTCGAAGCCTGAATTCAAGGTGTCAACAGAGGCATGCTTCCTCTGAAGGCTCTAGAGAAGAACTCATTCTTGCCTCCTTTAAATTCCAGTGGCCCCAAGCAATTTTTGGTGTTCCTTGGCTTGTAGGCCCTTCACTCCAACCACTGTTAACGATCTTCGCATAGCCGGCTTCTCTGTGTCTTTGTGTGTCTTTTTCTCTTCTTTTAAGGAATTAGAACCCATCCTAATCCAGTATGATCTCATCTCAATCCTTAAGTCATTACATCTTCAAAAATCTTATTTTCAAATAAGGTCACATTCTGGGGTCCCCAGTGAACATGAATTTGGGGGAACACTATTCAACCCACTATAGAGACTTTCTACAAAATTTCTGGCCTGTAATCTTCCAATGTGCAAAGGTAATGAACATCAAAGAAAGATTTAAGAACTCTTCAAAAATAAAGGAGAGTAAAGAGACATGTCAATAAAGGAAACAAAAATATTTTTGTCCAAAATATTGGGGATTATTAAATTAAAGACATTTGAAAATGCAGGGGAACGCTCTGCCTCAGCATTAATATGACTACAGGTAGGACATAAATCTTTCTTTGCTGAAGACAGCACTTGCTTATCTGCCTAGAGAAGGCACTAGAAGCACCAGAGGAATCTGGAAACTGATTTTACTATATTTACACATTTTTCCACCATTTAAAAGACTGCAACTGCTATATTCTTTGTCTTCTCACTATGTAGGATTTATGGCTCTTTGTTAAAATACTATTTAATTAAGGCCCTTAAGCAGCCACTTTGAGAGAGAAATACTTTTGAACTGTGGCCTTTCTCATATGATGGGAATGATGGGATTAATAGCACGCATTAATCAACTTTACTTGTTTTTCTTTTATTAATTAGACTTTTATTAATTTTCTTGTGTCTCGACTAAGGAGTCCAAAAAAGGAAAGGAAAGAAATTGTTTTCTCTCCTACACCAACTAAATGTAACACATGAACTTAAATTGGATCTTTCTATTATTAAGCATATTACTGAGACAACTGATGAAACTTGAATGAAGTCTGACAATAAGATGACAGCAAAGTATCAGTTTTAATTTCCTGATTTCTATGCTTATATTGTGGTTATGTAGGAAAATGCCCTTGCTTGTAGAAATTTCACACTAACACATTCAGCAATAGTGAGGCATTATGTTGGTATTATGTTGTAGGGTACTTGCAATGTTTTTATAAATTTATAATTATATATATTTTAAAAAAACTGAAATCAGAAACTGTCTCTTTCTCATTTTAGGGGAGCAAACATTCTAAGTGCTGTTGATAAAGTGTTTGTCAGTAAGATAAGAAGTGTGAAAGATGGTGGCAGGCCTCTGAGCCCAAGCCAAGCCATCGCATCCCCTGTGACTTGCACTTATAAGCCCAGATGGCCTGAAGTAATGAAGAATCACAAAAGAAGTGAAAATGCCCTGCCCTGCCTTAACTGATGACATTCCACCACAAAAGAAGTGAAAATGGCCAGTCCTTGCCTTAAGTGATGACATTACCTTGTGAAAGTCCTTTTCCTGGCTCATCGTGGCTCAGAAAGCTCCCCAACTGAGCACCTTGGGACCTCCACTCCTGCCCGCCAGAGAACAAATCCCCTTTGACTGTAATTTTCCTTTATCTACCCAAATCCTATAAAACGGCCCCACCCTTATCTCCCTTCCCTGACTCTCTTTTCGGACTCAGCCCACCTGCACCCAGGTGATTAAAAGCTTTATTGCTCATACAAAGCCTGTTTGGTGGTCTCTCCACACAGACACGAGTGAAAGATGGCTGCATACATCTGAGGTAATTTTGAAGCTTATGGCATCAAAATGCCGCTGGTGTTTATACATCTAGCTTTCCTGATTTGTATGTTGGATGCCCAAATTGAAAATATATTACTGAGTCATGGCTATAGCAGTGTCATCAAGCTAAGTCGGACAGTTCAGGGTTTATCAATAGACTTTGATAAGTGGAAAAGATTTCAGGTAAGATCTAGAAAAAAATCTTGCCATGTGGCCATTTAAATTATATATATGTACAGCATTTTATTTTACATAAAATAATTTTCCTCATTCATAACTTTTTTCTATAGAGAATTGGAAACCTGACCGGGTGCAATGGCTCACGCCTGTAATCCTAGCACTTTGGGAGGCTGAGGTGGATGGATCATGAGGTCAGAAATTCGAGACCAGGCTGGCCAACATAGTGAAACCCTGTCTCTACTAAAAATATAAAAATTAGCTGGGCGTGGTGTCACGTGCTTGTAGTCCCAGCTACTCGGGAGGCTGAGGCAGGAGAATTGCTAACCCAGGAGGTGGAGGTTGCAGTGAGCCGAGACTGCACTACTGCACTCCAGCCTGGGTGACAGAGCTAGACTCCATCTCAAAAAAAAAAAAAAAAAAAAAAGAATTGGAAGACTGTTAAACTGAAAACAGGAGGAGAACTGGTTACAGACCCAATAACAATAATTAGTATTTAGTATAGACATATTTTCTCAATATTTAAAAAGTATTTTTGAACATCTATGATTTTCTTACCCTTGAAATATTTTTGTTAAGAATGCCCATAAAATAGAAACACAAATAAAATATTGTAAATGTTGAAATGAATTTTACCTTGCTGTACTCAAGTATCTTCTTTTTGTATATATCATTATATTCAGTTTTTATTTCTGTGGATGAATTTATCAACCTTTAATAAATGTTCCTGTTCATTGTATAGTCTTTTTATTAAGCCTTCCATTGAGTCCAGCATTTATTTACTTGTAAAATAGGGAGTAATTTCAGTGTTAATGGAATTGAATATGAATAAAAGGAATGATGCTTTCTCTTAAAGGAATCCACATAGAAGCAAGTCAAAACAAAAATCTATACACCAGGTTTTCCAATGAATAGGACTAATTGGTTGTTTAAAAGATAGATATCAATTAGGAAACATTATTTGTCTATACTTTCCTTGGCAACAAAATAAATTGCTACTAATTATTTTTCACAATACTACAGTCTTTCTAAAGTACTCCCAATCATATATACATACAGTGCATTTCAGTAAAATAAAAAAAAAAGAAATATATATACACACACATAGAAGCAGCCTCATTTTTGACAAAAGGTCACACAGTTCATCAATTATAGCTTACAAACAACGTAGTCTACTTAAAATATGTATTATTTTCCAGTCTGTGGCTTGTCTTTCACAGAGCACTTGTTAATTGCAATGAATTCCAACTGCATCATTTTTTTGTTTCCTGAATATGTCTCTAGAGACTTACCAGAGGCTATTGCTAAACCTAAGATCACCTAAACTTTCTCTTGTTACCTTCTAGAATGTTTAAAGTTTTTTTGTTTTGCATTCAGGTCTATGATACATTTCAAATTAATTTTTATGCACAGTGTAAGGTCTGTGTCAGAAAAAGGGAATATTCTTTTTTATTAATTTCTAGGTTCACAGATGAGGCCATTATAAAAAAAAACACATTATCCAGAGAAAAGCATACAAATATTTTGCCCTGCTTCTACGTCTTTTGTGCTTTCATACAAATTTGAAATCAATATGTTACAATCTATAAAATATCTTGCTTGGGTTTTGATTGGGATTACATTGAATCTACAGATTTAGTTGGGAAGAATTGGTATCTTGACAATATTGAGTCTTTCAACTGATGAACGCAGCATATTTCTCCATTTATATATTAGTTGATAATTTTCATAAGGGTTTATAGTTTTACACATGTATATTCAATATACATTATGTTAGATTTATAGATAAGTATCACATTTTCTGGATTCTATTGCAAATGATATTATTTTCTTCTAATTTTAAATTCAAATTTTTATTGGTGCTATATAGGAAATTAATTGACTTTTGGATATTAACCTTATAACCTGTGACCTTGCTACACTTGCTTATTAATTACAAGAGTGAATTTATTGATTCTTTGAGATTTTCTGTGTCAGGTGGCCTGAAAATAAATACAGTTTTCTTTCTTTCTAATTCATATATATTTTATTATTGTTTCATTCCTTATTACAATGATGAGGACTTCTGGTAAAATGGTGAATAAGAATTTTGAAACCTGACATTTTAATTTTATTTCCAATCTTATAGAAAAAGTGTATAGTTTCTCACAATTAAATATTGTTAACTGGAGAATTTTTGTAATGGTTCCTCATAAAATTGAAAAGTTCCCCTCTATTTCTGGTTTGTTGAATTTTTACCATTAATGGATGATGTATTTTGTCAAATGTTTTTCCAGTGTCAATTGAAATAATCATATGATTTTTCTTGTTTAGTCTGTTAATGTAGTGGAATACATCAATTGATGTTTGAATGTTAAATAAGTGTTGCATACCTAAAATAAATGCCACTTGGTTTTAGCATATAATTCTTTTATATATTGTTAGATTTTATTTGCTAACATTTTGTTGAATATTTTTGTATCTTTGTTAATAAAATATGGGTCTATAGTTTTCTTTTCTTGTAATGTCTTTAACTGAGTTTGGTATTAATGTAATGCTGACCGCATGGAATGAGTGAGGAAGTATTCCCTCTGCTTCTATTTTCTTGCAGAGAGTGTGGAGGATTTGTATCATTTCTTTCTTAAGTGTTTGGTAGAATTCACTGGTAAAACCATCTGACCCTAGTAATTTCTTTTTTTGAATGGTGTTAATTAAAAATTTATATTATTTAACCACTAGGGTTATTCAGGCTATTTCTCCGTGTGAGGGTTTTTGGTAGGATGTGTCTTTAAATGAATTGGTCAATTTTATCTAAATTATCAGACTTAAGCCCATACAGTTTATGATGGTTACTGTTATGTGTCAGCTTGGCTAGGCTATAGTACTGAGATATTGGTTCAAACATTATTTTAGATGTTTCTGTGAATATTTTTAAAATGAGATTAACATTTAAATTGGTAGACTTTGAGTAAAGCAGATTATACTTCATGTTTCTTTTTCAGATTTAGTTGATTTTAATTGAAAATTTTAAGTGATCTTATTTTATCTCTTCTCTTAAAAAATCAAGTGAACTTTTTAGTTATTTCCCTGAAATTTAAAATATACATTTTTTAACTAATCTAAATTCATCTTCAGTTTGTAGAGCAAGCTGGCCAACTAGACACAGACAGGAGAAACATCGGCTAATTCAGACAAAAACAAAGAAAAGTCAATGAAGAAGAATGAACAAAACCACTGAGAAATATGGGATTATGTAAAGAGACCAAATCTATGACTCATTGGTGTCCCTGAAAAAGAGAGCGAAACCAAGCAACTCAGAAAACATATTTCAGGATATTGTCCATGAAAATTTCCCCAACCTCTCTACAGATGCCAACATTCAAATTCAGAAAATGCAGAGAACTTCTATGACATACTATCCCCAGGACACATAGTCATAAGATTCTCCAAGGTAAAAATGAAAGGAAAAAATATTAAAGACAGTTAGACAGAAGGGGCAAGTCACCTGCAAGGAGAACCTTACCAGGCTAAGAGTTAAATTTTCAGCAGAAATCCTACAAGCCAGGAAAGACTGGGGGCTTATATTTAGCATTTGTAAAGAAAATAAATTCCAACCAAGAAATTCATATCTAGCCAAACTAAGCTTCATAAGTGAAAGAAAAATAAGATCCTTTTCAGACAAGCAAATAGTAAGGGAATTTGTTAACACCAGACCTGCCTTGCAAGAGGTCCTGAAGGAAGTGCTAGATATGGAAAGCAAGGATCCTCACCAGCCACTACAAAAACACACAAGTACATAGAGCATTGACACTATAAAGCAACCACACAATCAAGTCTGCCTAATAAAAACATTATGACAGGATCAAATCCATGCATATCAATACTAACCTTGAATGTAAATGGGCAAAATGCCCTGATTCGAAGTCACAGAGTTGAAAGCTGGATAAAGAAGCAAGATCGGCATTGTGCCATGGCTTACGCCTGTAATCCTAGCACTTTGCGAGGCCGAAGCAGGTGGATCCCCTGAGGTTGGGAGTTCAGGACTAACCTGACCAACGTGGAGAAAACCCGTCTCTACTAAAAATACAAAAGTATCCAGACATACCTGTAATCCCAGCTACTCAGGAGGCTGAGGCAGGAGAATCGCTTGAACCAGGGAGGCAGAAGTTGAGAGCTGAGATCGAGCCATTGCACTCCAGCTTGGGCAATGAGAGAAATTTCATCTGAAAAAAAAAAAAAAAAAAAAAGAAGCAAGACCCAATGGTATGCTGTCTTTAAGAGGTATATCTCACATGTAATGACACCCACAGACTCAACATAAAAAGATGGAGAAAAATATACCAAGAAAATGGAAAACAGTGAAAAGCAGAGGTTGCTATTACAATTTCAGACAAAATAAATGATAAACCAAAATAAATAAATAAATAAAACAAAGAAGGGCATTACATAATGGTAAAAGGATTCAATTCAGTAATAAGAGCTAACTATCCTAAATATATATGCACCCAACACAGGAGCACCCAGATTCAAAAGCAAGTTCTTGGAGACCCATGAAGAAACTTAGATAAGCACACAATAATAGTGGGAGACTTCAATACCCCACTGACAATATTAGACAAACCATTGAGGCAGAATACTAACAATGATATTCAGAATCTGAATTCAACAGTTGATCCAATGGACCCAATAGATATCTACAAAACTCTCCACCCCAAAACAATACTAAGAAAATCACTTAAGACAATATAATTACCTGGAAATTAAAAACAACGTGCTCATGAACGACTTTTGGGTAAGCAATAAAATTAAGGAAGAAATCAAGAAGTTCTTTGACACTAATGAGAACAAAGGTACAATATGCCAGAATCAACTTAAAATGAATTAAAGATCTAAATGTAAAACCAAAACTATAAAAACCCTCGGAGATAAACTAAGAAATATCATTCTGAATATAAGATCTTGCAGAGATTTCATGATGAAGACTCCAAAAGCAATTGCAACAAAAATGAAAATTGACAAATAAGACCTAATTAAAGAGCTTCTGCACAGCAAAAGAAACTATAATCGACGGAGTAATCAAATGATTTACAGAATGGGAGAACATATTTGCAAACTATGCATCCAACAAAGGCCTAATATCCAAAATCTATAAGAAACTTAAACAAATTTACAAGCAAAAAACAAACAACCCTATTAAAACTGGGGCAAAGGACAGGAACAGATAATTTTCAAAAGAAGACGTATGTATGGCCAACAAGCATATGAAAAAAATGCTCAACACCACTGATCATTAGAGAAATGCAAATCACAACCACAATGGATACCATCTCACACCAGTCAGAATGGCTACAATTAAAAAGTAAAAATATAACAGATGCTTACAAAGTTGCAGAGAAAATGGAATACTTATACACAACTGGCAGGAATGTAAATTAGTTTAGCTTTTGTGGAAAGCAGTTTAGCAATTTCTCAAAGAACTTAAAACAAAATTACCATTTGACCTAGCAATCCCATTATTTGGTATATACAAAGGAATATAAATCATTCTACCATAAGGACACGTGCATATGATTATTATTCACAGGAATACTCACAATAGGAAAGGTATGGAGTCAACCGAAATGCCCATCAACAGTCAATTGGATAAAGAAAATATGATACATATGCACTGTGGAATACTATACACTCATAAAGAAGAATGAAAATGTGTTCTTTGCAGCAACATAGATGGAGCTGGAGGCCATTATCTTAAGTGAACTAACACATGAATATAAAACCAAATGCCACATATTCTCACTTTTTACCTGGGAGCTAAACATTGAGTACATATGGACGCAAAGAAGGGAGCAACAGTCACTGGGTCCTACTTGAGGGTGGAAGATGGGAGGAAGGTGAGGATCAAAAGACTACCTATCAGGTACTGCACTTATTACCTGGGTGATGAAATTATCTGTGCACCAAACCCCCACCTCATGTAATTTGCCTATATAACAAACCTACACATGTACTGCTGAAACTAAAAGTTAAATATCAGTAACATAAAAAAAGAATTCACCTTCAAATACCACTATATAGTGCTGCTTATTGACTATTTGTATAACATCTATTATGAAAAAGCTCTTTAAATATTTTGCCCATGTCTTTTTTATAAATTAAATAATATTAATGGATTTAAGTGTTTAATATATTACAGTTAGAACTCTATTATCATATATATACACATATATGTGTATGTATATTTTTTACAATTATTTTCACTTAATTTTCCACGTATATTTCCTAAGACATCAATATAATTTAATGACCTAGAAAAAATGATTCATTAAAGTGGGAAGAAGTTTAATGTTTTCAAGTGCGGATTGTTTAAACAAAAACAATGTTAGATCACTCTATGCATTTCTTATGTTATTTTTCACATATGAAGTGGTTGTCAATTGTTTCTAAATTAGGCATTTGGTGACCACGTGAATTAGACTGCATTTTAAGTGACTTGTTAACTAAACTGAAATTGTCTAACTAGACTATATTTATATAAACAGATTCTGAGAGCTACAAGAGACTTCAAAAGACATTTTACCCAATAGTTTTTATTTTATTTTTATTATTTATTTATTTATTTTTTGAGATGGAGTCTCGCTCTGTCGCCCAGGCTGGAGTGTAGTGGTGCGATCTCGGCTCACTGCAATCTCCGTCTCCTGGGTTCAAGGAATTCTCAGCTGGGATTACAGGTGCCCACGACCACACCCGGCTAATTTGTTTCTTTTTTTTTTTTTTTGTATTTTTAGTAGAGACAGGGTTTCACCATCTTGGCCAGGCTGGTCTTGAACTCCTGACCTTGTGATCCACCCACCTCGGCCTCCCAAAGTGCTGGGATTATAGGCATGAGCCACCACGTCCAGCTTACCCAATAGTTTTTAAACTCTGTGAGACTTCAGCATTTTATACTGTTCTAGTGGGCTAGGGAAAAGCCATGTGTGATAGCACTGAATCCTACATCTCCCACTTCAAACAGAGCAGCTCAACTTTTATTTGTTTCTGCGTATATTGGAGGGTTGTATAAGGTCTGATCAAAAATCGGAAGGCTTCTGCTGTTAAATTTTGAAAACCAACTTACTTATGTTAATTGAGATATAAATCATATATAATATAACTAACCCTTTTAAATTGTACATTTAAGTGGCTTTTAGTATACCTACAAAGTTGTACAGCCATAATCACAAGTTAATAGCAGAACAACTTTGTCATCCCAAAAAGAAACTCTTTACCCATTAGTAGTAAAGTAGGTGCCATTCTCACCCTCACCCAGACCCTGGCAACAACTAATCTACTTTCTGTTTTTGTGGATTTGCCTATTCCAGTCATTTCATGTAAATTGCTAAATGGACTAGATAGCCTTTTGTGTCTAGATTATTTTACTTCTTATATTTTTATGTTTATTCTTATAGTAGCATTTATCAGTACTTCATTCCATTTTATCGTTGAGTAATATTCTATGGTTTGTATAATAAAATATTTTGTTTATCCATTCTTTAGATGGACATTTGGGTTATTTCCACTTTCTTGCTCTTATGAATAATGTGGCTATGAATAATTGTGTATAAAGATATTGGGTAAAAATATATTTTCAATGCTCTTCGAATATAGCTTGGAGTACACTTGCTGGGCAATATGGTAACTTTATGTTTAACTTTTTCAGGAATTACCAAATTGTTTTCCAAAGTGGCTGCAAAATTTGCCATTTTCACTAGCAACATATGAGCATTCCAATGTCACCATATCTTCAAAAACAAATTATAATTTTTTTAATTAAACTCATTATTATGGCTGTGAAGTTTTGCATTGTAGACTTGATTTGCATGCTCTTAATAACTAATGATATTAAGCTTATATTTTGGGCTTATTGGCCATTTGTATAGCTTATTTGAAGGAAAACACTTTGATTTTTTTATTGGATTGACTACTTATTGTTGAATTATACGTTCTCTATATATTCTGTATATCAGATCCTTATAAGACATACGGTTTACAGATATGTTCTCCCTTTGTGTAGATTGTATTTTTATTTTCTAGATGCTATTATTTGTAGTATAAATGGCTTTTACTTTAATAAAGCTTTATTTATTTATTTTTTTATTTGGTTACTTGTGCTTTCACCAAACTATTCTGACTCTATAATTTTATGTAATAAGTAATTGATGCCAGAGTGATCTAATAAAGTTCATAATTCTAGTTAAGATTCTAATTAATTGTGACATAAAACTTGTACTATAAATTATTGAGCCCACATTTCAAGAAGGTTTTAAGACTTAACATACTTATACACTTTCTAACACATAAGTGCTATTGAGAAAAAATTATCTGAACTATCGTGAAAGAGGGCCAAAGACACACAATCCTATGCGGAAGGCTGAAAAACTAAACTTAATTATTCCTAGACATATTGAACTATGGAAATTGTCATGTGCTATAATTATTATGTTTTAAAAGTTCAAGAAACTTTGTAAAATATCAAAATCATATACATTATGCATATATATATATGAAGAAATTATATACATGCAGTTTTGGATATATGTGCAAAGGAGAAATTATATGATATGTACATATGCACATATATTATATATATTTTTATATATTCATACTGCTTACAAACAATATATGCAGTTGGCCTTCTGTATGAGTGGGTTTTGCAGCCATGGGTTTCATGTCAGTGAATTCAACCAAATCAGAAAAACAAATATTCAGCAAAATACTCCCACAAAGTTCCAAAAAGCAGAAGTTGAATTTGCCACACTCTGAGTACTATCTTGGATCCATGTGAATGACGTGATGTGTAGGCATTGTATTAGGTATTATAAGTAATCTAGAGATTATCTAAAGCATGTGAGAGGATGTGCATAGGTTATATGCAAATACTTCATCATTCTATATAAGGACTTGGGCATTCACAGATTTTATTACTTGAGGGCCGCCTTAGCACCAATTATTCATAAATACCAAGGGACAACTGGACATTTATGATACAGAACACAGGATCATAAGTAGTTTTGAAATTGTATTGAATATTGAGCAAAAATAAAAATATGCATTCTATAAGCTCTGACTTTGTTGAGAAATTTATAATCATAAGCTTACAAAGTTTATAGGCTCTAAGGAGTTACTATTCATTTCCTCCTTTTACAGTTGCCTCACAGAGTGCTTCTGTCCACAGCATATATTTATATATTATATTTATATATATTATTAAATATATATTTATATATTATATTTATATATATTATTAAATATATATTTATATATTATATTTTATATATTATTAAATATATATTTAAATATTATATTTTATGTTATTAATATATATTTCTATAGTATATTTTTATATGTTATTAAATATATATTTATATAGTATGTTTATATATATTATTAAATATATATTTCTATAGTATATTTTTATATGTTATTAAATATATATTTATATAGTATGTTTATATATATTATTAAATATATATTTATATAGTATATTTATATATTATATTTATATATTATTAAATATGTATATATTATATTTATATATATCTTTATGTATGTATATATTATATTTATATATCGTTAAATATGTGCATATATATTATATTTATATATCGTTAAATACATATGTATATATTATATTTATAGGTGTTGTAAAATACCGACGTATATATTATATTTATAGGGGTTGTAAAATACCGACATATATATTATATTTATAGGGGTCGTAAAATACCGATGTATATATTATATTTATAGGGGTCGTAAAATACTGAAGTATATATTATATTTATAGGTATCGTAAAACACCGATGTATATATTATATTTATAGGTATCGTAAAATACCGACGTATATATTATAGGTATCGTAAAATACCGACGTATATATTATATTTATAGGTGTCGTAAAATACCGACGTATATGTTATATTCATCAGTGTCGTAAAATACCAACGTATATGTTATATTCGTAGGTGTCATAAAATACTGATGTATATGTTATATTCGTAGGTGCCGTAAAATACCGACATATATGTTATATTCGTCGGTGTCATAAAATACCGACGTATATCTTATATTCGTCAGTGTCGTGAAATACCGACGTATATCTTTTATTCGTCAGTGTAGTGAAACACCGACGTATATTTTTTATTTGCTGGTGTCGTAAAATACTGACGTATATCTTACATTAGCAGGTGTCGTAAAATACCGACGTATAACTTATAATCGCAGGTGTCATAAAATACTGATGTAAATCTTATATTCGCTTGTATCATAAAATACTGACTTATATATTATGTTTATAGGTATCGTAAAATACCGACGTATATATTATATTTATAGGTATCGTAAAATACCGCCGTATATATTATAGGTATCGTAAAATACCGACGTACATCGGTGTCATGAAATACCGAAGTATATCTTATATTCGTACGTGTTGTGAAATACCGACGTATATCTCATATTAGTCGGTGTCGTGAAATACCGACGTATATCTTTTATTCGTTGGTGTAGTGAAACACCGACATATATTTTTTATTTGCCGGTGTCATAAAATACCGACGTATATCTTACATTCACAGGTGTCATAAAATACCGACGTATAACTATTCGCAGGTGTCATAAAATACCGACGTAAATCTTATATTCGCTTGTGTCATAAAATACCGAAATATATGTTATATTCACAGGTGCCATAAAATACCGATGTATATGTTATATTCGTCGTTGTCATGAAACACCGACGTATACCTTATATTAGTCGGTGTCGTGAAATACCAACGTATATATTATATTTGTAGGTGTTGTAAAATAACGTCATATATATTATATTTGTAGGTGTCGTAAAATACCGACGTATATAGTATAGGTGTCGTGAAATACCGACGTACATATTATATTCCTGGTGTCGCAAAATAACGACATATATATTACATTTGTAGGTGTCGTAAAATACCGACGTATATAGTATAGGTGTCGTGAAATACCAACGTATATCTTATATTCGTAGGTGTCGTGAAATTCCGTCGTATATGTTATATTCGTCGGTGTCGTAAAATACCGAAGTATATGTTATATTCGTCGCTGTCGTAAAATAAGGACATATATGTTACATTCGTCGGTGTCATAAAATACCGACGTATATGTCACATTCGTCGTTGTCGTGAAATACCGACGTATACCTTATATTAGTCAGTGTCGTGAAATACCGACGTATATATTAAATTTGTAGGTGTCATAAAATAACGTCATATATATTATATTTGTAGGTGTCGTAAAATACCGACGTATATAATATAGGTGTCGTGAAATACCGACGTATGTATTATATTCGTAGGTGTCATGAAATTCCGTCGTATATGTTATATTCGTCGGTGTCGTAAAATACCGACGTATATGTTATATTCGTCGGTGTCGTAAAATACCGATATATATCTTAGATTCGTCGGTGTCATAAAATAAGGACGTATATGTTACATTCGTCAGTGTCATAAAATAACGACGTATATGTTACATTCGTCGTTGTCATGAAATACCGACGTATACCTTATATTAGTCGGTGTCGTGAAATACCGGCGTATATATTATATTCATAGGTGTCGTAAAATAACGACATATATATTATATTTGTAGGTGTCGTAAAATACTGGCGTATATATTATAGTCTTCCGTGTCGTAAAATACCGACGTATTTGTTATAATCGTCGGCGTCGTAAAATACCGACGTATATGTTATGTTCATCGGTGTCATAAAATAGCAACATATATATTACATTTGTAGGTGTCGTAAAATACCGACATATATAGCATAGGTGTCGTGAAATACCGACGTATATATTATATTCGTAGGTGTCGTGAAATACCGACGTATATATTATATTCATAGGTGTCGTAAAATAACGACATATATATTATATTTGTAGGTGTCGTAAAATACAGACGTATAGAGTATAGGTGTCGTGAAATACCGACGTATATATTATATTTGTAGGTGTCGTGAAATACCAACGTATATCTTATATTCGTAGGTGTCGTGAAATTCCGTCGTATATGTTATATTCGTCGGTGTCGTAAAATACCGACGTATATGTTATATTCGTCGGTGTCGTAAAATAAGGACGTATATGTTACATTCGTTGCTGTCATAAAATACCGACGTATATGTTACATTCGTCGTTGTCGTGAAATACCGACGTATACCTTATATTAGTCGGTGTCGTGAAATACCGACGTATATATTATATTCGTAGGTGTCATAAAATAACGTCATATATATTATATTTGTAGGTGTCGTAAAATACCGACGTATATAGTATAGGTGTCGTGAAATACCGACGTATATATTATATTCCTGGTGTCGTAAAATAACGACATATATAATATATTTCTACGTGTCGTAAAATACCGACGTATATAGTATAGGTGTCATGAAATACCGAAATATGTATTATATTCGTAGGTGTGAAATTCCCTCGTATATGTTGTATTCGTCGGTGTCGTAAAATACCGACGTATATGTTTTATTCGTCGGTGTCGTAAAATACCAACAGATATCTTAGATTCGTCGGTGTCATAAAATAAGGACGTATATGTTACATTCGTCGGTGTCGTAAAATACCGACGTATATGTTACATTCGTCGTTGTCGTGAAATACCGACGTATACCTTATATTAGTCGGTGTCGTGAAATACCGGCGTATATATTATATTCGTAGGTGTCGTAAAATAACGACATATATATTATATTTGTAGGTGTCGTAAAATACCGACGTATATAGTATAGGTGTCGTGAAATACCGACGCATATATTATATTCGTAGGTGTCGTGAAATACCAACGTATATCTTATATTCATAGGTGTCGTGAAATTCCGTCGTATATGTTATATTCGTAGGTGCCGTAAAATACCGACGTATCTGTTATATTCTTCCGTGTCGTAAAATACCGACGTATCTGTTATAATCGCCGGTGTCGTAAAATACCGACGTATATATTATAGTCTTCCGTGTCGTAAAATAACGACATATATATTATATTTGTAGGTGTCGTAAAATACCGACATATATAGCATAGGTGTCGTGAAATACCGACGTGTATATTATATTCGTAGGTGTCGTGAAATACCGACGTATATATAATATTCGTAGGTGTCATAAAATAACGACATATATATTATATTTGTAGGTGTCGTAAAATACCGACGTATATAGTATACGTGTCATGAAATACCGACGTATATATTATATTCGTAGGTGTCGTGAAATACCAACATATATCTTGTATTCGTAGCTGTCGTGAAATTCCGTCGTATATGTTATATTCGTCGGTGGCTTAAAATACCGACGTATATGTTGTATTCGTCGGTATCGTAAAATAAGGACGTATATGTTACATTCGTCGGTGTCGTAAAATACCGACGTATACGTTACATTCGTCGTTGTCGTAAAATACCTACGTATACCTTATATCAGTCGGTGTCGTGAAATACCGATGTATATATTATATTCGTAGGTGTCGTAAAATAACGTCATATATATTATATTTGTAGGTGACGTAAAATACCGAAGTATATAGTATAGGTGTCGTGAAATACCGAAGTATATATTATATTCCTGGTGTCGTAAAATAACGACATATATATTATATTTGTAGGTGTCGTAAAATACCGACGTATATAGTATAGGTGTCGTGAAATACCGACGTATGTATTATATTCACAGGTGTCGTGAAATTCCGTCGTATATCTTATATTCACTCTTGTCGTAAAATACTGACGTATATCTTACTTTCGCAGGTGTCATAAAATACAGGTGTATAACTTATAATCGCAGGTGTCGTAAAATACAGACATAAATCTTATATTCGCTTGTGTCATAAAATACCGAAATATATGTTATATTCACCGGTGTCATAAAATACCGACGTATATGTTATATTCGTCGGTGTCGTAAAATACCAACGTATATGTAATATTCGTAGGTGCCGTAAAATACTGACCTATCTGTTATATTCTTCGGTGTCGTAAAATACCGACGTATCTGTTATAATCGTCAGTGTCGTAAAATACCGACGTATATATTATAGTCTTCCGTGTCGTAAAATACTGACGTATTTGTTATAATCGTCGGCGTCGTAAAATACCGACATATATGTTATATTCGTCGGTGTCGTAAAATAACGACATATATATTATATTTGTAGGTGTCGTAAAATACCGACGTATATAGCATAGGTGTCGTGAAATACCAACGTATATATTATATTCGTAGGTGTCGTGAAATTCCGTCGTATATGTTATATTCGTCGGTGTTGTAAAATAACGACATATATATTTGTAGGTGTCGTAAAATACCGACGTATATGTTATATTCGTTGGTGTCGTAAAATAAGGACGTATATGTTACATTCGTTGGTGTCATAAAATACCGACGTATATGTTACATTCGTCGTTGTCGTGAAATACCGACGTATACCTTATATTAGTTGGTGTCGTGAAATACCGACGTATATATTATATTTGTAGGTGTCGTAAAATAACGTCATATATATTATATTTGTAGGTGTCGGAAAATACCGACGTATATAGTATAGGTGTCGTGAAATACCGACGTATATATTATATTCCTGGTGTCGCAAAATAACGACATATATATTATATTTGTAGGTGTCGTAAAATACCGACGTATTTAGTATAGGTGTCGTGAAATACCGACGTATGTATTATATTCGTAGGTGTCATGAAATTCCGTCGTATATGTTATATTCGTCGGTGTCGTAAAATACCGACGTATATGTTATATTCATCAGTGTCGTAAAATACCGACAGATATCTTAGATTCGTCGGTGTCATAAAATAAGGATGTATATGTTACATTCGTCAGTGTCGTAAAATACCGACGTATACCTTATATTAGTCGGTGTCGTGAAATACCGGCGTATATATTATATTCGTAGGTGTCGTAAAATAACGACATATATATTATATTTGTAGGTGTCGTAAAATACCGACGTATATAGTATAGGTGTCGTGAAATACCGACGTATATATTATATTCGTAGGTGTCGTGAAATACCAACATATATCTTATATTCATAGATGTCGTGAAATTCCGTCGTATATGTTATATTCGTCGGTGTCGTAAAATACCGACGTATATGTTATATTCGTCGGTGTCGTAAAATACCGACGGATATGTTATATTCGTCGCTGTCGTAAAATACCGACGTATATCTTAGATTCGACGGTGTCGTAAAATACCGAAGTATATCTTATATTCGATGATGTCGTAAAATACCGACGTATATCTTATATTCACAGGTGTTGTAAAATACTGACATATATCGTACTTTCGCAGGTGTCATAAAATACCGATGTATATGTTACATTCGTTGGTGTCGTAAAATACCGACATATACGTCATATTCGTTACTGTTGTAAAATACCAACATATATGTTATATTCGTCGGTGTCGTAAAATACCAACTTATATCTTTTATTCGTCGGTGTTGTGAAATACTGACCTATATCTTTTATTCGTCAGTGTCGTGAAATACCAACGTATATCTTATATTCGTAGGTTTCGTGAAACTCCGACGTATATATTATATTCGTATGTGTCGTGAAATACCGACGTATATCTTATATTCTTAGGTGTCATCAAATGCCGACATATATATTATTATCTTAGATTCGTCGGTGTCGTAAAATACCGACGTATATGTTATATTTATAGGTGTCATAAAATACCGACGTATATCTTATATTCATAGGTGTCATCAAATGCCGACATATATATTATATTCGTAGGTGTCATAAAATAACGACGTATATATTATGTTTGTTGGTGTTGTAAAGTACCGACGTATATATTATAGGTGTCGTAAAATACTGACCTACATATTTTATTTATAGGTGTTGTAAAATACCAATGTATATATTATAGGTGTCGTAAAATACCGACGTATATATTATATTTATAGGTGTCATAAAATACCGACGTATATATTATATTTATAGGTGTTGTAAAATACCGACATATTTATTATAGGTATCGTAAAATACTGACGTATATATTATATTTATAGGTATCGTAAAATACCGACATTTATATTTATAGGTATCGTAAAATACCGACATACATATTACAGGTGTCGTAAAATACCGACGTATAGATTATATTTGTAGGTGTTGTAAAACACCGACGTGTATATTATATTTATAGGTGTCGTAAAATAACGACGTATATATTATATTTATAGGTGTCGTTAAATACCGACGTATATATTATATTTATATTTATCGTTAAATACCGACATATATATTATATTTATATATATCATTAAATATATATTTATATAATATATTTAATAAATGTTTATTGAATTTCATGGAAATTTTACCCAGGCAGAGTTGGGCATTCTGTTTTAATGCCAAACAAACATGAAACAAACTTACTCCACACAACCCTGATAATAACCAGCCAATATTTTCTTTTTTTTTCTTTCTTAGCCCATTTATTTGCCCATACATCTGTAATAGAGACACACTGTGAGTCAGGTTTACATTTTCCCAGCAAACAGAATCATCAAACAATAGGATTTTAAAGATCTGTCTTGCTTGTATATAGGTTGTATTTCCCTAATTTTGCATATGTTAGCATTTCACCTGTTATCATCTGTGGAGTTCCCTAGATTCTGTTTCCTTCTGAAATCTGATTTCAAAAGAGGAGGAATGTTTATAAAATGTTTTATGTGCCATATCTTATATAAATATGAAAACCACATTTTCATATGGGAAAAAAATTATAATTATTATACCTTCCTTACAATTACGTTGCTCAAAGAAAGTTAATAACTTATCCATATCATTGAGCTTTTCAGTGCCAGAGTTTAGATTTTTATCCCGGTCTGCTTAACTCCAATGCGATTCTCTTTTCTAAAGCATAAGACCAAACAAAACTATTGTTATCTTATAAAGATTACATTTCCATTGGAAATGTCACATAATAGAAATTAAAATCTAGTATAAAGTAGGCCACTATAATTCTTTGATTCAAAAATATGAAATGGACTTTTTCCCTCTGTATCAACCTTCCATGCACCATTTCCCAACATTTTTCATTCTTTTCAAGCTGATATTCACAAAACTTTAAGTTAGAATAATGATTGTGAAACAGCATGAAACAAAGAAAGCTAAAAATACCCTAAAAGGTGAATGAATACAGGAAAACACTTTGCATAACTTGGTAAGGATGAATTTAAAATAGTTTATATTGCATAACTTTTAAGACAAAAAAACTATTGCAGAATACAATTTTCCTGCACATTACATTGAACATTTTATGCCAATTACATTAACATTTTTCCGATTCATGTTTTAGCCTGCAATCATGCACTAGATCTCAGAAAACTCATATGAAAAATAAAACAAAAACAAACCGACATGAAATAGACAATTGCTGGTCACAGTGGTAAGATAATAATTTTATGCCATAAGAAAACACAACCAGAATATTTTCCTAGGTAATAAACTGTGTTTCCTTTTGAAATATTTACTACTAGACACTTCATCTCAATCCAGTTGAAACAACCTTTAAAACATCCCAAAGGAGTGCCATACTCTGTTCCAGAGAATTTTTGTATGTGGCTTCTCTTCGACACCCCTTAGTAATCTATTGCTAGTTTTCTCTATCTTCTCTTTTTCCTTGTTTTGTTCAACCTGAAGTGTCTCTCTTCCCACAGGCTTTAAAACATTTATATTAGTGTTTGTTGGGAGGGAATCTTGTAATGAATACATTATTAATAAATCATTAATAACATTTATTAATGGATCATTAATATTTGCTACCTAGATATCTGGCTTTCTTTTTGTGGGTTTCATTTTCCATACTACCATGTGATCATTTAAGTCAAAGATGGAAAATAGATTTCATTTTGTGTTCCATATTCAAATAGATGGTAGTGGCATGCTACATTGAGATAAGAGTTGGAGATTATGTCTTCTTTAAATGGAGAAAAGTTACATGAACATAGATAGTTGGGTGGGTGGCTAGTGATGACAGTGTGCTATGTATTTCCCATTTTGATTGAAAATGTAGTCACTATTGAAAATATTTTCCTGTTGTATTAATTGAATATGCCCCCAAGATACACCTCTCTGATCTAGTCATACAAACTGTGAGAAGAATCTAGGATTTCTTGTAACTGCTGTGTTGCCCTAGACTGCAATATATTCCATACTAGCATTTATTGAATGCAGACTCTGCATTAGGCACAATTTTAAGTTGTTTACAGGTGTGTTAGTTACTGTTATTATCTTCAATGTGCAGATTAGGTAACTGAGGAAACGGGGTTAGGTAAAAACACTTCAATTTCCTTCAACATATACTTTCTTTAGATAAAATGTTTTTGAGGAGTATAAGGCTATGGAAGAACAGGCAGCATTCTTGTTCCTGAAATGGTTAGTTAAATGTAAGTACCATTTATTGGAATTGATTTCAAGGCCATAATTCACAAGTCAGACAGTGAACAATCTTTACCCTTGTACAGGATGCCTAAATTTTCTTAATTTCTCCATTGGACAGACAATACTTGGGAATCATCTATGAAGTTGGTTTAAAAAGTTCAACTCTTTCAAGTTGTTATATTTAAAAAGATCATTATGACTAACAACCAATTCACTTGCTGTGAGAAGAGGTGGATGTGAGTCATAAAATAACTTTTAAGTCAGAAAATTGGATTTAATTCAGACTTTTCCTCCTCTTACATCAATTGAATGACAGGGATAAATGAACTTGATTTAGCTACATTTAGAATTGGAGTTGTCTTTCTTATCTATCAAAAGCATGGCAGGACTGATCATCTGGATATCATCAGCTGATGATCAAACATGTCAAATTAATGCAGAAAAACTAAAATAATTTGTGGCATTATATTCTATAATTTATTATGTTGATTTATGACACTTTATTTATTGCAAAAATATGGCATCAAAATTTGGAATTTTATCTACATTACGAATTGGGTAAAGTAACTTTTAATTACATTGTATACTTTAAGAAATGTGTTAGCCATTCTACTGCAATTGTAAAAATATGTCCACCCATTAAATTTAAAACCTCCTAATTGAGATAATTCTAATACAATTTTTAAAAATTCTTCAAAGCTTCAAAAACTTCATATTTCTGATCTTGTAATAAGTATAAAACTAAGAGATGCTTTTTCTGTGTAAGCAATGATTGTTAATATAATAGCTATTGAGTTTTCTCTTTTAGTTGAAAGCATTGTATTTTGACATCAGAAGTTACATGTGAAACAATAATTGTTATAATAATTTAATTACCCACTTTAAATGACCGTATATAATGTAGTTGCTAATATATGCTGTTTTTTCTACAGAACATCATTGACAAGATTATGTACATATTCACTATTAGCTTCGAGAACTTTTTATGTACAAAATGCTAGTAAAAGCGCATTCAAAATTACATGTTTTAGGCTGAGGTCTCACTCCTACAGTGCCTTCAGCAAAGTTTTTGGCCTCAGATCATATTCTCAGGCAAATTGTTTTCTATAAAAACTTCCTTTCTGTATTGAAAGGCTGAAGGAATAAAATAAGGAAAAATCCCTTCATTTCTCTCAGACAGTGCAAAGGGAGAAAAATTCTCTGGATAAATACACTGACAGTTTTATTTAATGATTTGAATATAAATTAAATAAGTGTTTAAGAAGTAGTTTAGCTAGTTATACACTTCCTTCATTTAGACAAATAATACAATCACATTTTTTGGCATTATTGGAAATAGCACACAATTTAGGGTCAGTTATTTCTAATTCTGATCATTCAAATTTCAAGCTCTTTGACTTTCTATGTTTTTAACATTGGCCAAGTCATTAATCTCTTAAATGTTCAATGTATTCAATTTAGAACTTTATAAAATGTATAAAATATAGCTAATAATACAGGTACAACCTACTTCATGACAGAATACAACATCCCAAAATATTCCACTCTGGCATATTGGCAATTTCAGTTAAAGGCACTTAAAAAACAGCAGATTCAAGAAAAATGCTCTGATCTTCCTTCTCCCTTTTGTTTCTTAAAAGCAGAAGATGAAATTCCCACTTGAAAGAAGTCCTCCCTATATGATATGGCTTGACTGTGTCCCCACCCAAATCTCATCTTGAGTTGTAGCTCCCATAATCCCCATGTGTCATGGGAGGGACCCAGTAGGAGGTAATTGAATCATGGGAGTAGATTTTTCCTGTGCTGTTCTTGTGATACTGAATAAGTCTCATGAGATCTGATGGTTTTATAAAGGGTAGTTCCCCTGCATGTGCTTGTGCCAGCTGCCCTGTAAAGTCATGTATTTGCTTCTCCTTTGCCTTTTGCTATGATTGTGAGGCCTCCCCAGCCATGCAGAACTGTGAGTCCATTAAACCTCTTTTCTTTATAAATTACCCAGTCTTTGGTATGTCTTTATCAGCAGCATGAGAACAGACTAATACACTATATCAGAAAAAAAGTAACATTCTGCATACTGGGTGAGATAGAGACACATAAATGCCTCAAATGATCATTTACCAATGTGCTATGTGTTTATGGAGTGAAAAATAACTTTAAAAACATTTTAAGATATCTTGCATAGGCATAGGACATAAAACATTTTTTTCCTTCAGAGGTTTTCTCAAAATGTCACCTATTTAGTGTAATCTTCCCTGACCATTGTATTTAAAACTGCAATCTCTTCCTCTCCCAGGTATAACCACCTCAGAGTACCTCTTACTGTCTTTTCAGGTATTATTGTTCTTCTTAATATTTATCACTTTCTGACTTATATATTACAAATATATTTGTTTGTTTGTGTCTCTTCACTATATTTTGAACAGAAATTTTATTTTTCTATTTTGTTCAATACCGTTTCCCCAACTTTTGGAATAATGACTGGCACGTAATAGCTGCTCAATAAGTATTTTTTAAATAGATAAATTAGTAAGTGATCAGAAAATGCTTTATATAATGGCCAACAAAGACATATAATTTTAAAATATATGAATTTTCACTTTATTGATTTATTGGCTTTCAGTTCACAGTGATTTATGACATAAAACTTATACATTTTCAGTTACTAAAACTTATCAAAATTGACCAGGCATGGTGGCTCACGCCTGTAATGCCAGCACTTTGGGAGGCCGAGACCTGCGGATCACCTGAGGTCAGGAGTTCGAGACCAGCCTGGCCAACATGGTGAAACCCCGTCTCAACTAAAAATACAAAAATTAGCCAGGTGGTGGTGGTGCATGCCTGTAATCCCAGCTATTCGAGAGGCTGAGGCAGGAGAATCACAGGAATCCGGGAGGTGGAGATTGCAATGAACCAAGATCGTGCTGCTGCACTCCAGCCTGGGTGACAGCAAGACTCCATCTAAAAAATAAATAAATAAATAAATAAATAAATAAATAAATAAATAAATAAAATAAATAAATAAAATTTATCAAAATAACCTTGTTTTTTCCATTTTTTCTATGATTACAAGGTATACGTTATTAAAAAGCCCTGGGGACATCTCTTATCAGATATTCGAACTGAAAATTTAGTATATGCAATCAAGTTGGTTTCATAAATACATTTTAGAGAAAATAAAAACTAATAGTATAAACAATACATCCCAGATTAATTTAAGAATTAAAGGTGTTATTTATTTTTATTTCAAAAATAAAGCAATTATAAAAAAATTCAAGTCTCTTTGTATCTGAACTCTTTTCACACCTTAATTTTATTTTATACAGTTACCTTAGAATGACAGTCACTTTATTTTCAGTTCTTGGACCCTACAAAAAAATGCTGCAATAAATATCTTTGTATATACACTCTTACAAATTGGTATCCAAATCTTCACACTTTTTCATCAGGGTGTTAAAATACAAAGACCCCTACATATCTGCCAATATTAAATGTGTTACTATTTTATATTGGAAGAGACTAATATGATAGCTCTTAATCACTTTAACTGTGATTTCCTTGACTTAGTAAATTTAAAATGTTTTTCATGTGGAATGTTTACCATTTTGGGTTGATCATCTCTGAAGTGTCTAGTCATCTATTTCCCATTCTTTTCTATTGGGATTTTTACATTTTTTCCTCGTCAATTTAAAAGAACTATGTACGCATTACAGAAGTAACTTTTTGTCTTTCTAGAGTAGTTTTGGTTTCTGACAAAATAATTACTAACCTGAGTTCTTGGTTCTCTCCTCCCAAAATATAAACTCTGGCAAATTATAGAAAGAATATAGAATACAGAAATCTGCAACAACAAGGAGAAAAATCCCCGGATGTCAAAAGACTGTTTTAACTTTCTGCAGGAGAAAGGTACGTGTCTATAGTCTATAGCAAGAGGCATCAGGTTCAACTCTGAAATAATAAATTTGAGTAGTGGTTCTCAAAGTGTGATTCCAGACAACCAGCATCAATGTCACTTGGGAAATTGTTAAAAATGCCAATATGGGGGCCCCGCCTTGGATTTACTGGATCGGAACACCTGGCTGTGGTGGCCAGTAAACTGTTAGAACAAGCCTATCAGATGATTCTCATTCAGAGTGGAATGTGAAAACGAATAAATTTTTGAAAAAACTGTTGAATTTTGTTCTTCCATTCTCCTTGCCATTTCCTTTGTAACAATTAATATCTGCTTCTTCACTACAGTAATCCTGAGGCAATAACTCAGACCACTGACTGAATAGACAAATGGACTATCCCAGATCATGTGTGAAAACAGAACTCTGACCTACAGCCTCTACTGAAAGCAGCCCAGGAAGTCAAACCACTTACATAGCAATCATCCCAGAATAGTCAGGACTTGATCAGGGACTGCAAGCTTCCCTATTTTTTATTCCCAGCTTTGGACTAGGGACTAATAAGAGAAAGCTGAATATGCTCCCCAAACCAATCAATCACCTAAGATTCCCCACTTCTAGTTAGCATGCCTCTAGCTTTTTCATGCCAACAACCTCCAATCAGAACATAATTGATGCTTTCCCTTTTTCTATCATAGTTTTTCCACTTCCCTGCATATCTCTGAGTCTGCCAAAATCAAGTGATGTTGGTTGACTTCCTTACTGTAGCAAGTTCTAAATAAACAGCCTTTGTTTGTTTTCATTTGGTTGGTCTTCATTTATTTCCACACTGCTAATGCAAGTGTAAATAATTCTAATATCAGAGCAGTGTATAAAACACTGCTGGGGTGAAGGATTGCTACTAACTGGAGTGTTATTTACCCGCCTCCACTCTCTTTTTCCATTCCCCCAGTTAGTGGTCTACTATGGTCTTCTGAGGATTTAAAATTGAAACACAGACCTGAAGAGTTGTTTGGTTAAGTGAATGATTAACTATGGTTCTATGGCCCCTGGGCTTTTCACAACAGAACTTGTTCACCTCCTCTCTGGAAGTAGTTCTTTTGGCCCTGAAAAATTAGCACAATCTGAGTAGCCAGTATCCCCAGGTGAATAAGAGCTCACAGGCCAAAATAAAGTTATGCCTTAGGAGACAAGTCTGCCTCAAAAGACTGTTTTCTTTAAAAAATAAAATTCAAACATATATCCTTTTAACTTTACATTTTTTTATCTTGGTTAGGGAAGACTCCAACACCCTTCAATTTTACGTGTAGGCTTTTAGATTTTCCTGCAAGATTTTTTAATATTTACATTTTAAACTTTAGTACATCTGGAGATTATTTTTGTTTCCTCTATAAGATAGAGAGTCTCATTTTCATTTATTTCTAGATTAAAGAAGCATATATGCTATTAAAATGCATAAAATAGTTTATCTTTCGTTGTTAAATTCAGCCACTGAATTTGTCATATATTAGTTTCCCATATGTCTTAGTATCCGAAAACACAATGATCTGATGTAGACACAAAAGATTATATTCCATAGTTATTCCTCCAAATATCTTATAGGATCTTTTTTTTTCTAAATTCTCTCCTCACTGCCACACCCTCTTCAAAAAAAATTATATTAAAATTCCCTCCTTACTGCCATACTACCAACAAAAATCCTATTGAAATTGCACTAAACTTGTTGTTGTTGATTTTAAAGTATTAACATACTTGCAATATGCAATCTTTCGCTATACAAAAATCAGAATCTGGGGTTGTTGTCCAACTTTCCACAATTTTCCTAGTAACCATAAATGTTTTGCTTCTTTATTTTGGTAACCTTCCCCTCTCTTCCCCCAGCCTATACTTTCAGTTTGAATGGGATTTTCCATTTTTTAATGTTAATCAACCATCCTATCTCAGTGGTAGTTCATAAAGTATTTATTAATGTGGTTCAAACAGATTTCTACTTTTTTTTTTTTTTTGAGACAGTCTGTGGCCCAGGCTGGAATGCAGTGGCACTATGTCTGCTCGCTACAAGCTCTGCCTCCGGGGTTCAGGCCATTCTCCTCCTGCCTCAGCCTCCCAAGTAGCTGGGACTACAGGCGCCCGCCACCATGCCTGGCTAATTTTTTTTTATGTTTTTAGTAGAGACAGGGTTTCACCACATTAGCCAGGATGGTCTCGGTCTTCTGACCTCGTGATCCGTATGCCTCGGCCTCCCAAAGTGCTGGGATTACAGGCGTGAGTCACCGTGCCTGGCCCTATTTCCACTCATTTTATAAACTAAAAATCTATTTCATAGATTTGGTGCTGAAAATATCTTTCCTCCCTTGTTTCTGGACCTGTAAGGTTGTGAGTCAGGTGCCATTGGCAATCCCATTGCTGCTAACAGGCAGAGACAAAGCACATTAAGATAATCAGAGTCCTGACGGCATTTAAGTCCATAGTTCCTATAATTTCTGAGACTAGTTTCACTTCTTTCCATCATGTAGTTTGGATATTAAACCAACAGATTTCACTTTTTGCTTAACTTTTTGAAATTGTGTTTCTAACATTTCTTACGGTAAGAGTTTTAATTAATTCTCAGTTAATAAATATGGCATATCTTTACATAGTTAACATTTTTTTTTTTTTTTTTTTTGAGACGGAGTCTCGCTCTGTCGCCCAGGCTGGAGTGCAGTGGCGGGATCTCGGCTCACTGCAAGCTCCGCCTCCTGGGTTCACGCCATTCTCCTGCCTCAGCCTCCCAAGTAGCTGGGACTACAGGCGCCCGCCACTACGCCCGGCTAATTTTTTGTATTTTTAGTAGAGACGGGGTTTCACCGTTTTAGCCGGGATGGTCTCGATCTCCTGACCTCGTGATCCGCCCGCCTCGGCCTCCCAAAGTGCTGGGATTACAGGCGTGAGCCACCGCGCCCGGCCTTACATAGTTAACATTTTTAAATGTCTAAAATGTATTCATGTCTCCAAATTACAAATTAATTTTGAATTTTCCTCAACTAGGTTTTAAGTATTTTTATTTAAGATGCTATCTAGTTAGATAATATATTTTGTTCTTATACTAATGTGCTGTGTCCCTACTTAATATTTCTACCGATTATTTCTGATACGTAGAAAAGTTAGTGATTGTTGTACATTTGTTTCTTCACCAGCCAACTATGCTATTTTACTACTAAAATATTTGTTTTTCAACTATTTCTTTTCTGTTTTGAGATAAATTGAATTTTTTTACTTGTCCTTCAACTAATAGCATGCTTTATTTCTGTTTTCTAAACATTTCAGACATTATGAAATTATATTCTGTATTGTATGTATATAGATATACATATATACATGTGTATGCACACATGTACGTGTGTGTGTAAAATACATTATATGATATTTGGGATTACGGGGCTAGAAACAATTAGAAAGTTACTATTTATCTTGGCTATTCAGTTGACTTTTTAGAAAAAGAATAAATAACAGGGAAATTATTTGATAATATAAATTATCAAAGCAAAATTAGTCATGTTTGTTCAAGAAATACAAGAGCCATAAAAAATTTGTATAGGTATATTTTCTAGCTATTCATATCACAATATTAAACTATTGAACTAATGTGAGCACTTAATTCCCTATAAATCTGAACTTGTAAAGTTGCTTTAATATATATTCCTTTAAAAATAAAAAAATGAACTCCAGCCTGAGTGACAGAGTGAGATTGTCTCAAAATAAATAAATAAAACAAACAAATAACATAAAAGTCATAAAATAGGTTTTCAAAAAATTATTTTATTTTTAAAATTATTGCACATTAAATTTTGATTGATATTCAATAAGAGTCTCCTTGACAAAACTCCATTCAAGCTTCTCTGAATTGTCCTCCCAACTAGGATTCGATTCCTGGGTTTTCATGTTCTTCTCTGCATTGCCCAATTTTAGCCAAAACCCTGCTAAGCCAGTTTAGCCAGAATCCCCTACTCTACATCTGATTGTGTTCCTCATCCCTAGCAATCCTCCAAATGATATCTGATGGCTTGTCTGACCTCACCAAGAATCATGTTAGGTAGGTTTAGCCAGAATCCTCCCTTATCCCTGATGTCTTCGATTAGTAATTTCTCTCCAACTACACCTTCTCCCCTACATTCTTGACTGTAAATTTCCACTTTTCTTTATTGTATTTAGAATTGATTTCAGTTCTATTCTGAGATATTTTTCCCCCTTATTGCAGTAGTTTTTGGGTAAAATATGTTCTACTGCTTTAACTGCTATCCAGCTCTAGCTTTTCTTTGACAAACATTCACAGATTGTATAACAATCATCACAATCAACATACAGAATACTACCATCACCTCAAAATCTTTCTCATGTTATCTCTAAAAGATAATTTTAAAATTTAAGTTTTTATTTTTATACGCTTTGTGTCACAAATATTATACTAAGATGCATTTGTAGAAAAATATAGATTATAAAATTGAACCTAATCTACTGCCAATTATATTTGCTTCTGTGATCTTAAAATACACACAGAAACAGTGAGATAGAAAGGTTCTCTGAGCTAAAAGGCTGACCCCCAGATGAATTTATTTAACCAATAATAGAGATCAAAGATAAAAGAAACACACAAAGCTGCAATCATTAATATCAACTATAGATAACATTAAACAGCTGAAAACAAGGTATTCAATGTTATTAACATTTATCCTGAATTGTATTCCTCCTATAAACGTATCCTTAAAGGTGAATTTCCTCTTCTTAATATGCATATATACATTATTATTTTTAATACAGAGACATCACACAGAAGATATTGGTTCACATCACAGTTAGATTCCTAACATGTCTGAGTAAAATAGCATATTGATTTATATATGGTGACTGTTTTCAATTGATATAAAAATATTTACTGTTTAATAAAGCTAGTTGTTGCTTTTGGAACAATATAAAAAATGAAGAAACTATAGATTTCTATATACTTGCTAAAATTACTGTGTGTTAAAAAAGATATCAGAAGGTTCTATGCTTTAGACTTTAAACACCACTGCTGCTTTTCCAACGTTACATTAAAGGCTATTCCCAGTGACTGGTCCTCATTATTCTTTTATAAAGTCAGATTTTCTAGGGGTCCTTATTTTGCAATTCAGTTACCTTCTATGTATTTAAGGGGCAGTATAGGTTAAATTCTATCAATTGTTAGACTTGCATCCATAACTACTAAACATACTCAGTTTCTTCTTTATTCTGTGAAACTCTAAGTCAGGTAAAGTCCTTTGCAACTAATAATTTTAATGTAAACAAAGCTCTAAAGACAAAAATTTGATAACAGATTTGAAACCAAAATCTTGACCCAATGAGGCCCAAATTGCAACGTCTTAATCACTCCATCATTGTAATATACGTGACTATCTAGGGGAAGACATTTTTTATTATTTTGGGTCATCTGCATTTAAATGAATACATTATGAAGAAAACATGCATAGCACAAGTGAGCTTTTATTTTTCCTTTTAGTTAATGTAGATTTAGTGTGTTTTACTGTTTTAGTTCAAAGTAGGCAGGTTCACAGACTTTGAATAATAGTAATATCAGAAATTCAAGTGTACTGAAAGGAGGAGACAAATACTGTGGTTTTTAAGTTCATTTTAGGTAAATGAACTGAATGCTGGTTATTCCTGCATATAGATTTATTAATGAACAAAATAAGAGAATACTGAGAATAGTTTTTGCAGAGTGAGAGCAAGATATCAGCAAATAATTTAGTTCTATAAATAGGGATACCACATTGCAACTCAGTCTGAAAGACTTATTTGAGATGAATGACCCCATTTTATTGTTATTTTAATATTTTAAAATAAAACATGGAAGTTAAAGATTTAACTTTTTTTTTTTGATGTATCCAAAAACTAGATCCAAATATCTGAAATAATAAGGCTGTTTGGAGGATTGTTTTCATCTAATTCATATAGTATAATATCCATGATTTTCTAAAATAACTTTATTGTGTGAATATGTCATGCCATAATTTTTGTTTTTTTTTAGTATGAATGCCCTCATTCCTCAAAGTCAACCTTTGATATAAGTGTAAATAGACTTCATCAGTGTGTTCAGGGAAAAGATAAGAAATATAAAACTGTTAAAAATTTGTATGCATATTTAAAAAAAAATTTGTACTTCATCCTTTCTCAGACACAGCCCCAAAGCCAAGACAAATAATATGATAGAAGATTTCATTCTAAATAAAAATCTTCTTTTTAAAATGGTAACCTGAAGCTGTATAATAGTATTTGTACAATAACTAATTCTTATATTGAAAGTTTAGTGAGGTATCTAGGCAGCACTTGCCATGTTTGCAGTTTATTAAGCAGTTTGAAGATGGTTGAACATTAGATACAAAAATAATTGAAGCTCAATACTGTTAGGTTTAGTAAGAACATAATGTGTCTTCTCTTTCCTTTTTTTCTTTTGTTTTTTTTGAGATGGAGTCTCGCTCTGTTGCCCAGGTTGGAGTGCAGTGGCACGATCTCAGCTCACTGCAACCTCCACCTCCTGGGTTCACGCCATTCTTCTGCCTCAGCCTCCAAGTAGCTGAGACTACAGGCGCCTGCCACCACGCCCGGCTAATTTTTTGTATTTTTAGTAGACACAGGGTTTCACCATGTTAGCCAGGACGGTCTCGGTCTCCTGACCTCGTGATCCACCCACGTCGACCTCCCAAAGTGGTGGGATTACAGGCGTGAGCCACCGTGCCCAGCCCATAATGTGTCTTTTTAAATTAATTAACTCTTAAGATCAGTGGAGTGTGTAGATGTTTACTTATATTTCTATCTTCACTTAGCTGTTCCCAGGATGAAAAAAAAAAAGACTAGTGGCTCTGTTAAACCCTGAAAATTAGCTTAATGATCTTACCTCTTCATCCTTTCTACCAATCTGGCCCCTTTTAAACCCCCGAATGTAATCATTGGTACTCATTGGTACTATCTTCCTCTTGATTTCAGAGAACACCTCCTTGCAAATTTGTTAATTTTTCTCTTTTACTGTATTAAATCACTTACTGAGTAAAGTAATTCTTTCCTTGAAATGCGATTTGGTTTCTTCTTTGCTCTCCATTTCTATGCCATTTCCACTTAAACTTGTCCCTGCATTGTTGCAAAAACCTAACTGGTTTCTTTGATGTGACAAAATTAGAGAGATTACCTTTTTGATAGTAAGGTCAAAGCTCACCTACTAATCTGGACATCTAAAGCTGTCCTTCAATCAAATGCTCTCATTCCTCTGCTTCCTATCTTCTTCACTCATTCCATAATAACATTCCTTGTTACTTCTAAGCATACCTCTTCTCTTTCAGTTGACCATGATCCTTTCCATCTCATAGGCACTGCTTTTTATTTTACAACAATGACTTTGCTTATAAAGATCACTTCACCTAATATGTTCCCTGGCACATTGCTCCCTGTTCAAACAAGCCTTCATAAAAACCCAGATGTTTTAATATTATATTGATAATCATGTGTGTGTGTGTGTGTGTGTGTGCATGTTTGTGTTTTCTTTTGGCATTGTTTTTATACTTGAGAGAACAATGATGCCTGTGGTTTGATTAAAATATGAACATGAGGCTGGGCACGGTGGCTCATGCCTGTAATCCCAGCACTTTGGGAGGCCGAGGCAGGTGAATCACCTGAGGGTCAGGAATTCGAGACCAGCCTGGCCAAGATGGTGAAACCCGTCTCTACTAAAAATACAAAAGATTAGCTGGGCCTGGTGGCTTCTGCCTGTAATCTCAGCTACTTGGGAGGCTGGGGCAGGAGATTCGCTTGAACCCAGAAGGCGGAGATTGCAGTGAGCCAAGATCGCGCCATTGCACTCGAGCCTAGGCAACAAGAGCGAAACTCCGGCTCAAACAAACTATATATATATATGAACATGAGTGCTTAATCTGTCTATATATTTGCAACCTTTTGTCATTCTTTCTCGATCTATCTTAAGCTTCTCTTTGGCGAGTTCCTTGTGTTCTCACCTCATTTACATCATATCCCTAGTACCTAGTAAAGTTCAATTAACATCATAAAGTATTAAATAATGCTTACTAAGTGAATGGATCTCTCTGCAGCCATTACAAGAAGGAAAATAAAATTTCGTACCCATTTGAGGTGTTTAATTTTACATAGTTTGGACATTCATAGACTCAAACATTTTAGAACTTGAAGGATGGTAAGGGAGCATCTAAGTATTTACCTCATTTTATAGGTAATTGCTGTGGTTTGGATACTCCAAAACTCATGTTGAAACCTGATCCCCAGTGTTGGGGGTGGGGCGTAGTAGAAGGTGGTTGAGTCATGGTGGCTGATTCCTCATGAATGGCTTCGTGCTCTCCATACTGTAATGACTGAGTTCTCTCTCTATTAGTTCACGTGAGAGCTGATTGTTTAATAGAGCCTGGCACCTCCCTCCCCACTCTCTGTATATCCCTCTCCTGCTATGTGATCTCTGCACCTGCAGCCTCCTCTTCGCTTTCTGTCATGAGTGGAAGCAGCCTGCACCACTCAACAGAAGCATATGCGGTCCCCATACTTCTTGTATAGCCTGCAGAACCATTAGCCAAATAAATATATTTTCTATATAAATTACCAAGTATCAGGTATTCTTTTATAGCAACAGAAACAGATTAAGACAATAGTGGTACAATAGGAAGAACATAAAGAAAATATTCTAAGAGTTCAATTACTCAGTAGAAAGGCCAAAGCATTATGTTTTTGGGTTTCCAAAGCTCTGCTTCAGTATGTTCCAGGATTGTTCTAGGTAGTCTATTTAGTGCACATTCTTTGAATTCTCAGACACTGCTAGGTGCCTAAGCACAGGAGTTCTACAAATAATGTGTGATAGAGCATTACATTTGTATGGATAAGTACTAAGGTAATCAAGTTTTGGTGGATTCAAATCAAGTTTGGTGGATTCAAAATACTGAATCTCCTCTGTCAACTAGAAAACTTCCTTTTGGTTTTATGTACTACAGTTGAGCACAAAAAATCCATATGTCCAAAATCCTAATGTTACCAAAAAATGTGTGTTTTGAGGGTTAGGTGATTCCAGAGTGGCTGGAGTTTAGACAATAGAAGAGCAAATACCAGAAATGTCTCAAAAGGGAAGTAGGAAATAGATCACCATGCATTGCCTTCAATATGTTCAGATTTTATTCTCAAGGTAATGGGAATTCACTGAAGAGGTTTCCACTTGTAAGTGACCTGTCCAAATATGTTTTGTTTATTCTATATCAAAGTTATAGGCATACATGTTTTAAAAAACTTGTTGTAGGTGGTCACTAAAATTATTTTAGTTATTTATTGTGGTATTTACTACTAGGTTTCATAATAACATGCTTATACTATTATTCCTTGATTTTCAGCGCTGTATGTAATGTAATGACTACTTACTATGGAAGATGAGCCTATTGTTCACTTACCACCACCATCACCACCACACACTAAGGGCACCCCACTGTTCTTTAGCACATGCATACTCTCCCACCCCTACAGTAGTGGCCATGGAAATCTCTTACTCAGATGGCCAGCTCCAGGGAGCACAGTTGACTGATATTCCATGCTGCCACACCTCTGGATTCACCATTTACATTGTGCTAAAATTTTGCATTCCTTAGGCTGCTCTTGGCCAATGACTAAGTATGCCAGTGGTAGCAGAAAATAGTTTTGACCTTACAGATTCGTTGAATTTATGTTGTGAATGACTAGCAGTCCTGGATCCCACTTTGAGAACCACTGACCTATGCTGCCTTCAATCTACCACACAGCTGAAATTCAGATATTTGTTTTAGAACAATCACTCTGACAGAACAAAGACACAGGCATACTTAGGAGATATTGCAGGTTTGGTGAGAGCTGATTGTTTAACAGTGCCTGGCACCTCCCTTCCCTCTCTCTCTATCTTCCTCTCCTGCCGTGTGATCTCCGTACATGCAGGCTACTCTTCACCTTTGGTCATGTTCCAGACCAACACAATAAAGCAAATATCACAATAAAGTAGGCCATGTACATTTTTTTGGTTTCCCAATGCATATACAAGTTATGTTTGTACTATACATTAGTCTATTAAGTATGCAACAGCATGTGTCTAAAAATGTATATACTTTAATTATAAATGCTTTATTGCTAAAAAATGTTAATGATCATCTGAGCCTTCAGTGAGTCATAATTTTTTTTGCTGGTCCAAGGTCTTGTCTTGATGTTGATGGCTGCTTACTGTTCAAGGTGGTGATTGCTTAAAGTCAGGTGGCTGTGGCAATTTTTAAAAATAAAACAACAATGAAGTTTGCAACATCAATTAACTCTTCTTCTTATGAAAGATTTCTCTGTAGCATGCAATGCTGTTTCATAGCATTCTACCCATAGAATATTTTTCAAAATTGAAGTAAATGCTCTCTCAAACTATGCTGCAGATTTATAAACTAAGTTTGTATAACATTCTAAAACTTTTTGTCATTTCAACGTGTTCAGTTTCTTCACCAAAAGTAGATTTTATCTCAAGAAACCACTTTCCTTACTCTCCCATCAGAAGCAACATCTCATCTGTTCAAGTTTTTTCATGAGATTATAGCAATACAATCACATCTACAGGCTCCACTTCTAGTTCTTTTGCTATTTCCTCCACATCTGAAGTTAATTTCTCCACTGAAGGCTCAAACTTCTCAGAATCATCCATGAGGGTTGGAATCTATATCTTCTAAATTCCTGTTAATGTTGATGTTTCTACCTCCCCTCATTAATCACAAATGTTCTTAACGGCACCTAGAAGGGTGAATTCTTTACAGAAGGTTTTCAATGTACTTTGCCCCGGTCCATCAGAGGAATCAACATCTATGGCAGCTAGAGCCTTACAAAATATATCTCTTAAATAATAAGATTTGAAAGCTTAAATTACTCCTTAATCCATGAGCTAAAGAATAGATGTTGTGTTTGCAGGCATAAAAGCAACATTAATCTCCATGGACACGTCCATCATAGAACTTGGGTGACCAGGTGCATAGTTAATAAGTAGTAATATTTTGAAAGAAATCTTATTTCTGAGCCATAGATCATAAAATTGGGTTTAAAATATTTAATACACGATTCTGTAAATAGGTGGGCTTTCACCCAGGCTTCATTGTTCCATGTATAGAGCACAGGCTTAGTAGATTTAGCATAATTCTTTTTTTTTTTTTTTTTTTTTGAGACGGAGTCTCGCTCTGTCGCCCAGGCTGGAGTGCAGTGGCGGGATCTCGGCTCACTGCAAGCTCCGCCTCCCGGGTTCACGCCATTCTCCTGCCTCAGCCTCCCAAGTAGCTGGGACTACAGGCGCCCGCCACTACGCCCGGCTAATTTTTTGTATTTTTAGTAGAGACGGGGTTTCACCGTTTTAGCCGGGATGGTCTCGATCTCCTGACCTCGTGATCCGCTCGCCTCGGCCTCCCAAAGTGCTGGGATTACAGGCGTGAGCCACCGCGCCCGGCCGCATAATTCTTAAAGACCCAAGGATTTCCAGAATGGCAAATTAGATTCAGCTTCAACTTAAAGTCACTAGCTGCATTAGGCCATAACAAGAGATTCAGCCTGCCTTTTGAAGATTTGAAGCCAGACACTGACTTCTCCTCCCTAGCGATGAAAGTCCTTTATAGCATCTTCTATCAATATAACCCTATTTTGTCTGTACTGAAAATCTGTTGTTTAGTGTCACCACCTTCATCAATTATTTTAGCTAGATCCTCTGGATAATATGCTGCAGCTTTCACATCAGCCCTTCCTGTTTTGCCTTACGGAGACGGCTTCTTTCCTTAAATCTCAAGAATCAAACTCTGCTAGCTTCAAACTTTTTCTTCTGCAGCTTCCTCGCCTTTTATAGGATTAAAGAGAGTTACGGCCTTCTTCTGAATTAGGCTTTGGCTTAAAGGAATGTTATAGCTAGTTTGATCTATCTAGATTACTAAAACTTTCTTCACATCAGCAATAAGGCTGTTTTGCCTTTTCATCATGTGTGAATTCACTACAGTAGCACTTTTAATTTTCTTCAATAACTTTTCCCTTGCACTCACAAATTGATTAACTGTTTGGTGCATGAAGCACAGCTTTCAGCCTATCACAGCTTTGAATATTTCTTCCACAGTAAGTTTAATCATTTCTAGTTTCTCATTTAAAGTGAGAGATATGTTACTGTATTTTTTCCACCAGAACATTTAGAAGCCATTTTAGAGTCATTACTTGGCCTAATTTTAATATTCTTGTCTCTCAGAGAAGAGGGAAGACTAAAAAGAGGGAAAGTGAAATGGGAGTGGTGGGTTGATGGAGCAGTCATAACACATTCATTTATTAAGTTCACTGTCTTATATGAGTGCAGTTCATGGTGCCTGCAAACAATTATAATAATAATAATATTAAAGATCACTGAGTACACTACTGCACACACAGGTCATTATGACAGATTTAATAATAATGAAAAATGTTTAATATATTTCAAGAATTACTAAAACATGACACAGAGACATAGTGATCACATGCTGTTAGAAGTATGGTGCCAATAACATTGTTTGATGCAGGAGTGACATAGATCTTCCATTTTTAAAAATGCAATATTTATTCTGGTTCAAAATACCTGACTAGAGACATTAGACATTTATGTTTTCCAGAAAACAAAGGACCAAATTATGAATAGACAATTATGCTACAAATAAAGCATCTAGGAGAGGAACACTAGAGTCCAGCAGAGAAGTCATGGGAAACACCTGAAGCACAGAAAAAGATGGATGTCAGTAGCCAGCTCAGCTGACATTGGCTGAAGCCTAGAGGAGCTTGCTATTGCAGGTAAAGAGTAAGTGAGGAAATGTTAGTAGTCCACATCACCACCATTAATAGTTGCAATCCAAACAACAGGGAGAGCTCCGCTACCCACAGAAATGCTGACTACCATTGTCAGTAATCTGGAGACCCTGTAAGAGCATTACACCAGACAGGGGATGTGTTCTTGGTCGCTCACACCCCAGACACCTAAGTGGTTGGATCAGGGCACCATTGTGAGAGCATAGCCATAATGGGACTGTATCCTGCCCTGGGGAGCCACAGCCTCCATATCTCCACATTCTGGGAGCTCCAACATATATCCCCCGGTGTTACAGCTACAGTGGTACAGTGCTGGCTGAACCCAAAGGTGTCACAGGATTCTCAAGACTCTAGCCAATAGGGAGTACCACTCCCTGAGAATAGAACAGTGCAGCACACCAAAAGATGACCAAAGCACATGCTTTCCAGAGCCCAAGAGCTCTGGTGCTGTGAAAAGAGATTCTTTTCCCAGCAGTGGCACAAACTTTTGCTTGGACTGGCAGGCAAACAGTATGATCCCCTCTCCCACTTGGCACTCTGTCACAGCAGTTGCTGCAACTAGAAACCCAGGTTGGTGAGTCTGAAAGTTGACCCTCTGAGGCTGGAGGAAGTGACTCTACCTCAACCATCACAGTGGCCTCTGTGCTCAGTCTCCTCTGTAGAGAGAAGTACCCCCTTTTCTTCTCTGCACACCGCTGCAGCCACAGATGCTGCTGCTGCTACCAAGGACTGGGGTGAATGAGCAAAATTGCTACCCGCCTGGGGTTGTGAGTAGTGATAGTCCTCCCACTGGTGGCATGGCCTCAGTGCTTGGGCTCACTCACAAAGAGTGGGGCCATTCCACACCTTTACATGGTGCTGTCATGCTGTCTCTGCTGCTTAGAGTGGGCAAGCATGAGAACTACTTGTCCAGGGCTTTGGGTGTTCAATCTGCATTGCAACAACTGCCAAGACCAGCACATACTCCAAATAATGTTTTTTGCAGCAACTTAGATGGAGCTGGAGCTCATTACTCTATGTGAAGCAACTCAAAAATGAAAAATCAAATACTGTATGTTCTCACTTACAAGTGGAAATTAAACTATGGGTATGCAAGGGCAGACAGATTGCTATAATGGACTATGGAGACTCAGAAGGAAGAGTCAGAAGGGGTAAGTGATAGAAAATTACATATTGTATACAGTATACACTACTTGGGTGATAAGTACACTAAAATCTCAGACTTCATCATAATACAATTCATCCATGTAACCAAAAGCCATTTGTACCCCCAAAGCTATTGAGATAATAAAATTAGAAAATTTAAAAATAAAAAAAATTAAATACATGGCTAGTTTCTATGTGCTAAAAAAAGAAACAAAACACTTCCAAATTGGAAAAAAGGAAATAAAACTGTCCCTCTTTGCAAACAACATGATAGTATGTCTACACAAATGTAAAGACTCTACCAAGAAACTTTTAGAAGTGATAAATACAGTGAAGTTTTAGGATACAAAATTAACATTAAAACACAGGAGCATTTCCATATAGCAATAATGAAATATCCAAAAAAGAAATCAAGAAGGAAATTTTATTTACAATGCTAAAGAAAATAAAGTACCCAGGAATAAATTTAACAGTGAAGGTGGTGTGTTCTCTATAAGGAAAACTACAAAATACTGATGAAAGAAATTGAAGAGGACACAAACAAATTGATAAACATCCCATGTTTGTGTATCAAAATTGATATCATTAAAATTACCATACTACCCAAAGCAATCTACAGATTCAATACAATCCATATCAAAATACTAAAATCATTTTTCACAGAAATGGAAAAAAATCCTAAAACTTATATGGGAAAACAAGCCAGAATAGTCAAGCAATCCTAAGCATAAAGAACAAAATTGGAGGCATCACAGTACCTGACTTAAAAACAGATTACAAAAATATAATAACCAAAAGAGCATGATATTGGTATAAAAATAGATACAGACCAATGAAACAGAATAGACGACAGAGAAATAAATCCACATATTTACAGGCAACTGATCTTTGACAAAGCTGCCAAGAACATACACTGGGGAAGGAAAACCTTCTTCCATAAATGGTGCTGGAAAAATTGGATAACCAGATACAGAAGAATGAAACTGGACCCCATCTCTCACCATATACAAAAGTAATCTCAAAATGGACTAAAGACTTAAATGTAAAAGTCAAAACTATAGCAGTAGAAAACATAGGGAATATGCTTCAGGAATTGGTCTAGGCAAAATTTTTATAACTAAGACCTCAAAAGAACAGGTAACAAAAATAAAAACAAATGGGACTATATTACACAAAAAAGCTTTGGTTGAGCAGAATAAATTATCATCAGAATGAGGAGACAACCTCTTAAGTAGGAGAAAATGTTTTCAAATTACTTATCCAACAAGGGACTCAACAACTAAACAATAAAACAAATGCATCAATTAAAATGGCTATGTGTCACGCATAGACATTTCTCAAAGGAAGACATAAAAATGGCCAACAGGCATATGAAAAATGCTCAACATCATTAATCACCATGGAAATGCAAATCAAAATCCCAACAAAGTATCATCTCACACCAGTTAGAATGAGTATTACTAAAAAGGCAAAAAAGAAAAAAAAAAAGCAGCTGCTGGTGAGGATGCCGAATAAAGGGAACTCTTACACACTCTTGGTGTGACTGTGAATTAGTACAACCAGTATGGAAAACAGTATGAAGATTTCTCAAACAGTTAAAAAGAGAGCTACTATATGACCCAACATAGTCAGTACTGAGTATCTATTCAAAGGAATGGAAACCAATGTATCAAAGAGATACCTGCACTCACAGGTTTATGATAGCATTATTCACAATAGTAAAGGTATGAAATCAAGCTTAGTGTTTACCAATGCTATTTAGCCATAAACAAGAATGAAGCCTTGTCATTTTCAGCAACATGAATCGAACTGAAGGTCATTATGTTAAGTGAAATAAACCAGACACAGAGTGACAAATAATGTATGTTCTCACTCTTATGTGGGAGGTAAAAAAACAACCTCATGGACATAGAGAATTGAATGATACTTATCAGAGACTGGGAAGGGTTAATGGAGGGAAGGGTAGATGAAGAGAGGTTAGCTACGGGTACAAAAGTGCAGTTAGATAGAGGAAATAAATTGTAATGTTTGATAGCAGGTTAGGATAACTATAGTTAGCAACAGTATTATGTATATTTTAAAGTAACCAGAAGAGGGGACAGAAAAATGATAAACACTAAAGGTGATAGATATTCCAAGTACCCTGACTTGATCATTACACATACTGTACATGTAACAAAAACTCACATGTAGCCCATAAATATGTAAAATATTATATATATATATACCAATAAAAGATTTAAAAATGCAATATCTGTGAGGTACAATAAAGTGAAGTGCAATAAAACTAGGTATTCCTGCAATAGTTTGGAGGTGGAAAAAATTAATGACAGAGAGACAAGTTAGAAGGCTTAAAAAAAAGACTGGGAAAAAGAAGTTAGAACTACGGCAGTGACAATGAAGGTAGACAGGGGCGAGAAGAATAATACACATTTGGGAGTGTGATTGATAAGAACTGATAACTTACTAAATATGGCGAAAGAGATGAAATTGTCAAAGATGACTCAGAGTTTTTTGCATTGAAGAGGAATAAATTGCATTGTGATGATTCCTAAAAGACGTTTTTCTCTCACTGAATGTAAACAACTTGTTAACAGGAATGTGTCATTTTGTACTTGTTACTTTCCTTATCTGTGAAACAGAAAATATTATCTACTATGAAGGTTATCTGCTATGAAGGTTAAAAAAAATGTCAAGGTAAAGCATTTCCTTTATTGTTCAATAACATTTAGCAATAATTATTATAATTGTCCACTTCTCTGCCTTTTCCAATATTTTGGTCTGAGGAAGACTGGTTACTTTTTGGGACCAGGGCTCCTGTGTTGCAAAACTCTAGGATCATCAGTCACATCACAGTGTATAGGAGAAGTGCCCTTGTAGTTGTTCTATGCCACAGTATGAGCCGCCAAATGCAGTGAACCTGCATAGGTCACTTCATATCATGCATCTGGCTTCAGGGCAGCAGCAGTTGCCGAGCAGGCTCCAAATGCTCTGCCCTGAGTTACTTTAGTTATATAAAATTTATTCCTGAACCCAAACACCTGGGAAGAAAATTCCTTACATATTTTTAATGCAGGCATATTCTCTTGGTACCAAAAGGCAATTTTACAACAAAATGAACACTACTACTTCTCCACAAAGTACTTTTTATCTGACTGTGTATTATGAATCGTTACAAGGCATAGCTCTGAAATACATTGAGTGAATAAAAGAAGAGCCTTATTGAATAAAGTCTTGATTAGAAAAATGTGTAATATTATTACATATGTTTAGAATCTGATAAGAACATACTATGAGCCAGTGTCTTTTTAGTGCTACATTATTTACTGATGGTAAATTTATGGAGACATTAATTCAGATTGCTGGAACAAGATGGGGAACTCCAATTCCAAGAACCTTATCAAAATCTCTTTGCTTGATTATATCGAGCATTTCAGAAATTATCTACTGTCATCAGTGCAGAACTTGTAAGTGAGGATGTCTTTTTAAAATTCCAATAATTTAATGATGGAATGGGCTTCCATGCATAGCTGCAAACTCCTTATACCTGGAAATATTCAAATATTATATGATATCGTCTCGGGGATGCTATAATGATGATTCGTGAATTTTAGAGTGGAATGGAGATGTCCTCCAGGTTACCTTCTAAATCCAGAATTTTATTCTTTAATTAGAGAAAGTTAAGAAATATAAAAAATGATTAATATGTCACTTCTACCTGTATTTTCTCCGTTTGTAATTTTATCTGTTTTCTAGGCTTTAAATGCTTAATAAATGCTAGTGATTCCCAGATCTGCAAGTCTAACCCTTATCTATTATCAGACCTCTAGGCTCTAAGATCCATCTTCCTATTTGACATTTCTCCTGGAATACCTACTATATACCTTACATTTAATATGGCTAGAACAAAAGTATTGATTTCAACTCTCTTATCCTGCCCCTTTCTTTATGTGAATTATAAAAATGGAATCCTGTTTTTAAGATACGATTATTATAATTATAAGAAAAGTATGATATACACATAGTATTAAAATAGGACACTTTTCTGCAATCTGTAAAATGTTTCCCAAACAAATGTCAAAACATGCAATGCCTAAGTTGAGAATGGTGCTTCTCTAGGGACGTGCAGGGGACAAACTGAATAACCAAAGTAGCAGGCCTTTTACTTCCATTAATTTCTCTTTCTGTCTTTTCCATCTCAATAAATGCAACTAGATTTCAATCTACTGGTAATGTAAAAAAAAAAAAAAACAAAAAAACTTTGATTCCTTTTTTTTTTCTTACTCTCCATATCCAGTTTATCTGTAAATTCTGTTAATTCTACATCCAAAATATATACTAAAATTCTAATTGCTTTCCTCCCTATTATCTCTCTAGTCTAAGCCATTATTATAGCTCTCTCTACCATATCCTGTTATGTAGTCTCTTTGCTTCTTCTCCTATAAGCCGCTCTCCATAGAGCAACAAGAAATAAATTTAAAACAAAATAATCATAAATCAGATCATTTCATGCCCAAGATTACCAGGCCTGTGTCCAAAAGAAATCTTTTCTTCTACCTTCTTAGCTTTATACTTTGGAGCCTGCAAAGTAAGCTGACAAAAGACAGACCAGCAAGAGAACAAACAGGTTTAATCCTGTACTATGTATGAGATTTCACAGAAAAATGTGACTCAAGGAAGCATTTAGAATTTGGGGCTTTTCATACCACCTTAATAAGAAAAGTGGAAGGAGAGAAGGGCATTTACAGAAAAATAAATGACTTCTTAATAGGTGAAATAGGGGAGGTATAGTGCACTTGTGGAAAAACAATTTTTAGGAAAAACAAAGGGGTCTTAGGAGAATAGATGGAAAATATGACCGTTTTATCATATCTGTTTGGGTGTCATGTAAAGTTATATAAAATTCTGAATAACTCATCTCTGGTGATAAGTCAGTCTTCCTTGGTTGCCGCAAGGGAGGAGATTTATGACAATTGGGTTCTTTTGCATTCTTTTGGGAGGCTCTGCTTTTAGACAGATCAAAATTTTTATGCATTCACCTTTCTTAAGCTCAAGATAATTTTATGCTACACTGGTCTACTTTGGACTTCTTTGCCTGCTACATCATAATCTACATGGGGAAACATTCATAGAAATATTAGGTGAATTGTATCCCTAGGAATTGTGTAACACAATGGCCATTTAAATCCTTTGTTTTCTTCCCTTTATTATGGAATAAAAACCAAATTACATACCTTGGCCCCATGATCTGGCCTCTGTCTTCTTCTTCAACTTCATCTTGAACCACTTTTCCATTAACCCCTTTGCTTTAGGAATACCAATGCTCTTTTTTAAAAAATATACTAAGTTCCCATATTATACTCTTTGAACTACCTGTTCCCACTTTCTGGACTGGTCGTCTCCCTGATGTCACACTGCTGGACCTCAGTATCATTTAGATTTTAGATACATATCACCTCCTCAAATGGTCCTTCACTAACTCTTAGGGTTCCATTCGCTCTATTGTATCATTTACCATCATTTTTTACACATAAGTTGTTTCTGTTTAATTTTTAATATTTATTTCTTGTTTGTTTCTCACTGCTTGATCTCTTGTACAAGTGTCAGCTACTGAAAACCAATCACCAGCACCTAGAACAGTAACTGATACACAGTAGGAACATCATAGCTATTTATACAAGAAGAAGATAATGCAATGAAGTTCATTTATTAGAGTCTTACGTTCAATTAATAGGTTTTTGAAATCCCTCCCTTTTGGTCATTTCATCTAATGTCTTCTTTCTCCTACCTTTTTTATTTACTATTCTTATATATATATTTTTCACCTCCAACAATCTGTTACTATTTCTTATTGTCTCTTTCACTTGTGTACCTTACCCTTCCCTTTCTCTTGCTCTCCACCCTTAACTAGTAATGCCTGTATTATATTTTTAATGTATGTTGGTCTCTTTAAACCAAGTTTAGTATAAGAGACCAGTATTCAGGGCTTTCTTTCTTTTTTTTTTTTTGAAACGGAGTCTTGCTCTGTGGCCCAGGCTGGAGGTAATCTCAGCTCACTGTAAGCTCCGTCTCTGGGGTTCACGCCATTCTCCTGCCTCAGCCTCCCAAGTAGCTGGGACTACAGCACCCACCACCACGCTCGCCTAATTTTTTGTATTTTTAGTAGAGACAGGGTTTCACCGTGTTAGCCAGGGTGGTCTCCATCTCCTGACCTCATGATCTGCCCTCCTCGGCCTCCCAAAATACTGGGATTACAGGTGTGAGCCACCGCGCCCAGCCATATTCAGGGCCTCCTGTGCTTAAAACACTGCTTCTACAGATTTGGGAGATGTAATGATGAATAAAATACAAGTCCTGCCCTTAGTAGTTAGTATCTAATAGAAGAGGCAAACTATAAATACAGTAAGTGAGCTTTAAAGAGAAAAATGGGTGTGGAAAAATTACTGAGTGTGGGCTGAATGTAACTAACTTATGAAAGCTGAAACACTGTTTTTAAAAGTCTGCTTTTTGAAATATTTTATATTATTGGTATGGTTGTTCTCTGGGGATGACATAGCAAGTTGAGTGAAAGAGAAATAGGAAGTGGGACTCCATTCCGGACCAGACTGAGAAACAGGGAAGAATCCGAAGCACCTCTCCATAAGACATGCCCACCAGAGTTATGAGAGTTTACCCCTTCCCTGGAAATGACCCAGAAGTTACCACCCCTTTACTAGACATTTCTGAATAACCTACACCTTAATTTTCATGTAATTAAAATTGATATAAAAGCTGCTTCAGAACTGCCCTGAACTGCTACTCTAGATAAACTGCTTGTGAGGTAGTCCTGCTCTGCAGGAGGAGTCATGGAGCTCTAACACTGCTACTTCAATAAAGCTGTTTCCTTCTACCACCAGCTCACCCTTGAATTCCTTCCTGGAAGAAGCCAAGAACCAATTATTTTTAAAAGGTTTTTCCAGAATACACCACTATTTCTTTAAGATCTGAAGACAAGGAATGGTGATTCGATAGTAAAAATTATCTCTTACTGGGATCATGGGTTATGTACATATTTGGTTGTGATGCCCGGGCAATCCTTACATTATGGCGTGTCCCTTTTTGTTATCTTACAACCAAAGATCTTGAGAGAAACTAAGAAAATTGTTTCTTTGAAGTCAGCTTCACTATGTGGCTTTATTACGTGAGTTGAGGTAGAATAATGCAGTAAAGTAATAATGTGTTTCTCAAAATAGAAAGTTCTTCATTAATTTTATAATTACTAGAGCAGGTATTTCTTTGAAGAAGCTGACCTACCAATTATACATTAACTTTTTTGGTAGATTAATCATTATTTTCCTCATGATTTTGGATTTTCTTCTTTGCTTTTCATAAAAAAGCAGCTGCAGTGTGTGGCTAATTTTTCTGTGAGCAAAAAGAAAATGTCTCCAGCTCAATAGGTGTTTAATGTCAGATATGATTTTTTTATTTTGTAATTTAAAATGGTTTTGCAGGTTTAGCTTCATCAGGCAGGGAAGATATGACAAGTTTTTGAATTTAGCCTCATTCTTGAAGATAAAATAAAATTTATTTTATTCAGTGTTTGATGTTTACCCTGCTACATACACTCTGCCAGTCTAGATTGAGTGCTAAAAGAAAATATAAAACCTTTTTGCATGCAGATCTATTTGAAGGCTCCCTGGAGATGAGGCTGTTTTAGTTTTTTTTTAGATGATATCATCTTGTCACAATGACAAAGCAACCCGGAAACTACAAACTTAGAGTGTTATTTTTATTTGTTTTAAAAACACAGCTATGACCCTCATGTCTTCAGTCATCTGTTCCTAATGTAATTTTTAAAATTAAACGTTAATATAAATGAAATAGCTAAAAATTGACATTACCCTAACAAAGGAAACAAAGTTAAATGACTTGTTTCTGTAGAACAAATACTTTACTTTCCCTTGAACCTGCAAATTAGAAGAAAATTAAATATTCCACATATTTTTTGAAGATTAGATATATCTAAATATAAAAGTTCAGAGATTTTACTGTTTTTCATAAATAACTGTTCCTGTGCACATGTGGAGTAGACAGTCACCTAAATGGTATAGATAAAGGAACACCACGCAAGTATAGTCACACATCACTTAATAGTGGGGATACTTTCTGGGAAATGTGTCATTAGAGAATTTTCTCATTGTGTGAACATTATAGAGCGTACTTATACAAACCTAGATGGTATAGCCTACTACACCCCTAGGCTCGCTGGTATAGCCTAAGGCTCCTAGGCTATAAACATATACAGCATGCTGCTGTACTAAATACTGTAGGTCATGGTAACACAATGGTATGTATTTGTATCTAAATATAGAATGGGTCCAGTGATTAGTCCAGTCATTTCTCTGCATTAAATAAAAGTAGGTGCACTGTCTCTAGAAAGTCATTATCTAAATTACATTGTTACCTGGCAGGGTATGATTTCTTTGTCATTGCTCTAGGACATTAACATGAGCTGGATTTTTGTTTTATTTTATTTTAACCTAGAGTAAGACATTCTTACCTCTGCAGGATCAAAGAGTCTCGCTTGGAGGAGAAAACAATAGTAGAGGGAAATTTAGATGAGTGTCATAAAAAGTTTTCAAATTAAAATTTAGTGTCCAGAATATAGCACTGGGGAAAGTAGCACATCTCCGTAGTAAAGACAACTTCTGGTGTGCCCTGCCTCTCTTAAAGTGGAAAAGAAGCTCATGTAACCAGGTATGAGAATGAAGGTCAAAAGTGAGAAAGGACAGTATCAAATCCTACATAAATCAGTCTCAGAGAATGTTGACTTGAGTGAACATCAACATGAGATAATGTTTAAGAAAAGGCAGAAGAAATAGGTATGTATATGGACTAGAATATTGTGGTAGGGGGAGTGGCATCTAAAGGGCAAGAAGTCTAAGGGCAAACTTTCCTAATTTCCTTAGGTTTATTGCTGCATCCACAGTCTATAGGTGAATAATGAGAATATGTTGATTTCAACCTTCCTGAGGGCAGAAGCTATAGTGTAGGTCTATAAAATCTTCCATAAAACCTTGAATAGCTCTAGGCATAATGATGGCTTATTAATTAATTGTACAAAATAAAGTTATACTCAGGAGACCCATCAGTTTGTTAGTAGGGCATAAATACATGTTTCTCTCTTTTTTCATTTTACTTGCTAGACTATTTTTAGAGCAGCTTTAGATTTATAGAAAAATGGAGCAGAGAGTATCTGTACACCTCCCCATTCCCTGACTTGCACAATTCCATTATTGATATTTTACATTAGTGTGGCACATTTTTTGATTAATGAATTAACTAAATTCCATATTTTATTCCGATTTCCTTAGTGTTTACCTAATGGCCTTTTTGTACTTCAAGATTCCATTCAGGATACCACATTAGCTTTGATTGTCATGTTTCCTTAGGTTACTCTTGGCTTTAACGTTGTCTCAGAATTTATTTTTTATTACTTTGATAGGAGCACTGGTAACAGACTCTCTTTTTTTTTTTGAGACAGAGTTTCGCTCTGTCGCCTAGGCTGGAGTGCAGTGGTGTGATCTCGGCTCACTGCAAGCTCTGCCTCCAGGGTTCATGCCATTCTCCTGCCTCAGCCTCCCGCATAGCTGGGACTACAGGCGCCCGCCACCACGCCCGGCTAATTTTTTTGTATTTTTTTAGTAGAGACGGGGTTTCACCTTGTTAGCCAGGATGGTCTGGATCTCCTGACCTCGTGATCCACCCGTCTCTGCCTCCCAAAGTGCTGGGATTACAGGCGTGAGCCACCGCGCCCGGCCCAGAATCTCTTCTTGGTAAAACTTCAGTCAGGCTCTTCTGAGCTTTCTTCTGGACTAGGCCTCAACCTTGGCCCCCATCCTGGCCAGGCTTGCATAGCTTAGTTTTAGCAAAAATACTCCTAAGTTGGTTTGGAAATATTTCCCACTCTTGATATTTATCACACTGCCCTGCATTCAGCAATAATCTTAAATTGGTTTAGCAAAAAATATCTTGTTTCCTATTGTCTTTTGTGGTATTTTTTCATCCTTTGACCCCTTAACTGTTCACTGGCTATAACTTCCCACATATCTAAGCTATATGCAGAGCTGAAATCAATCCCTCTCCCTTACCGTGATGATCTTAACACCTATTGCAATAGTCCCGAATACATTCTTCCTTATGGTTTTAAAAAGTGTCGTAGTTAACTTATTTGGCTACTAGATGCCAGATAGCTGGTAAACATTATTTCTGGCCATGTCTATAAAGGTATTTCTGGAAGACATTATCATTTGAATCAGTACACTATGTAAAAAAAAAAAAAAAAAAAGATTACCCTCACCAATGTGAGCAGGCCTCATTCAATTCAATGAGGGCCTACAAAGAACAACAACAACAAAAAAAATGGAGATAGGTCAAATTTACTGTTCAGGAGCTGGGATATCCATCTTCTTCTGCCTATGGATATCAGTGCCCTGGTTCTCAGGCATTCCCACTCAGACTGAAGGTACACTATGAGCTCTCTTGGTTTTCAGGCCTTTGGACTTGAATTGGAACTATACCACTGGCTTTCCTAGGCCTCCAGACTGCAGATGGCAGATCACAGGACTTCTTATCCCCCATAAACACATGACCCAATCTTTCAGAATAAATCTCTTTCTACACATCTCTATTTATATCCTATTGGATCTGCTTCTCTGGAGAACTCTAGTACAAATATTTGCATATATTTTTCCTTACCACTGGTCAGGATGTTCCCCTATTAGAATATGCCTGATGTTTTATTCCCCATGATTCTATTTTCATGATTAGATTGATGATATGGGTTTAGGAGAGAAAGATCACAGAGACAAAGTGGAATTTTTCTCATATTAGATCTAGGTATATACTTGATTTATGAGTAATTATGTTGATCTTGATTATCTAGCTGAAGTATTAGTTTTAAGGTTTCTCCACTTTACAAGTAATTTTATTTCCTTAAGATATAGTACACTCTAGAGGAAAGTAACTATATGCAGTCCACTTTTAAGGAATGGGAAGTTATCTTCTACTTCCTTTAGAGTGCAGTGTTTACATAAATCATCTGGATTCCAAGATGGAAGATTTGCCTCTTTCCCCAAATTTTAATTTATTCAATAATTCATTTATTTCTGTTTGAACTCATAGGTATTTATTTTAGACTTTGTATTATACTACAGTACTATTTTAGTTATTCTATTGATTAAATTGTGCCAGGTTTGGCTACTTAGAGCTTTGTCATTTGACTTCTGTATCCCTTTGACATAACTCCATCAATGTTACTTTGTTTTTGAGCACGCCCATATTTTCTGGCACTACTAGAATCTTCAGGCTCATCTTCTATATTTCCCACTGCAATCCTAGTATCAGCCATTTCTCAAAGAAGTCCTGCATCTTTTAAAGAGAGAATGGAACCAAGAGCTAGGCCCTAGCTGTCTTGTTGCTACTAGGATTATATCTTTTAGGCACTCTGCTGACAGAGCAAAGAACTATTTATGTGTATACTAACCTATTTATATACACATATATATAAATATGTCTCTATTTTACCATCTGTCTCTACATTTAGTTAAACATGTTTATTTCCTGATGCATCCAACTCTAATGCATTACCATATGGATTATTTCAGCCTGTTCTTGTTTTCCCATAACTTTCCAGTACAAAAGCACAACCTGACTCCCACCATCTGCTACACATTTATGTAATTGTTCAATTTTAATATACATATATAGCAGTATCAGAATTGTTGACTGACACCCTGATATGGTTTTAATGTGTTCTCACCAAATCTCATGTTAAATTGTAATCTCCAATGTTGGAAGTGGGCCTGGTTGGAGGCGATTACATCATGGGAGCAGGTTTCTTGTGAATGGTTTAGCATCATCCACCTTGGTATTGTCTTGGTATAGTGAGTTCTCATGACATCTGCTGGTATAAAGTGTGTAGCACCTCCCCCTTCTCTCTCTTGCTCCTGCTCCCACCATGTAGGATGCCTCATACCCCCTTCACATTCTGTTTACGATTGTAAGTTCCCTGAAGCTTCCCCAGAAGCTGATGTTGCTATGCTTCTTGTACAGCCTGCAAAACCATGAGCCAACTAAACCTCTTTTCCTTATAAATTACCCAGTCTCAGGTATTTCTTTATAGCAATGTGAGGAAAAAACTGATACAGAATATTGGTACCAAGAGTGGTATATTACTATAAAGGTAGCTAGAAATGTGGAAGCTACTTTGGAACTGGGTAACAGGTAGAGGTTGAAAGAGTGTGTAGAGCTCAGAAGAAGACAGGAAGATGAGGGAAAGTTTGGAACTTCCTAGAGACTTGTCGAATGGCTTTGACCAAAATGCTGATAGTGATAGGGGCAATAAAGACCACGCTGAGGTGGTCTCAGATGAAGATGAGAAACTTATGAGGAACTGGAGCAAAGGTCACATTCGTTATGCTTTAGCAAAGAACATGGAGGCATTGTGCCCCTTGCCCTAGGGATTTGTGGAACTTGTGAGTGATGATTTAGGGTATCTGGTGGAAGAAATTTCTTAGTAGCAAAGTGGTCAAGATGTTCTCTGGCTGATTCTATCAGCCTATGTTCATATGCATGAACAAAGAAATGACCTGAAACTGGAACTTATATTTAAAAGGGAAGCAGAGTGTAAGTTTAAAAAATTTTCAGCTTGGACGTGTAGTAGAAAAGAAAAACTCATTTTCAGGGAAGCATTTCAGGCAGGCTTCAGAAATTCATATACGTAAAATGGAGGCCAGTGCTGATAGCCAAGACAAAAAAAAAAAGGCCTTCATGGCATTTTAGAGATCTTCACGGCAGCCTCTCCCATCACAAGCCCCAGGGTCTAGGAGAAAATAATGGTTTTGTAGACCAGGCCATGGGCCCTGCTACCCTGCACAGTCTCAGGACACTGATCCCTGCATCCTAGCCACTCCAGCTCCAGCTGTGGCTCAAAGGGGCCAAGGTACAGCTCAAGATACTACTTCAGAGGGTGCAAGCCATAATCCTTGGCAGCTTCCAAGTGGTGTTAATCCTGTGGTGCACAGAGTGCAAGAGGTGAGGCTTGGGAGCCTCTGCCTAGATTTCAGAACATGTATTGAAAAGCCTGGATGTCCAGGCAGAATCCTGTTGCAGGGGCAGGGCCCTCATGGAGAACATCTACTAGGAAATTGTTGAGGGGAAATGTGGGGTTGGAGTTCCCTCACAGAGTTTCTACTTGGGCACTCCCTAGTGGAGCTGTGAGAAAAGGGTCACCATCTTCCAGAACCCAGAATAGTAGAGCCACTGAAAGGTGCACCATGCACCTGGAAAAGCCACAGGAATTCAACACCAGCCCATGAGAGCAGCCATGAGGAATGAACCCTGAAAATCCAAGGGAGCAGACCTGTCCAAGACTGTGGGAGCCAACCCCTTGCATCAGAGTGGCCTGGACATGAAACATGGGTTCAAAGGAGATAATTTTGGAACTTTAAAATTTAATGGCTGCCCTGCTGGGTTTTGGACTTGCATAGGGCCTGAAGTCCCCCCCACTTTTTTTTTGGCTGATTTCTCATTTTTTGAATGAAAGTATTTACCTTGTGCCTATACCTCCATTGTATCTTGGAAGTAACTAACATTTTTTTATTGTACAAGCTCATAGGTGGAAGGGACTTCTAACCTTGTCTTAAATGAGAACTTGGACTTTAGAATTTTGAGTTAGTTCTGGAGTGAGTTAAGACTTTGGGAGACTGTTGGGAAGGCATGATTGTAGTTTGCAATCTGAGAAGGAAACAAGATTTGGAGGGCAAAAGGCAGAACATTATGGTTTGAATCAGTGTCCCTACCAAATATTATATTGAATTGTAATCCCCATTGTTGGAGGAGGGACTGGTGGGAGGTGATTAGAACATGGGGGCAGATTTCTCAAGAATGGCTTAGCACCATCCCCCTTAGTATTGTCTTAGTGATACTGAGTGAGTTATCCTGATATCTGGCTGTTTAAAAGTATGTAGCACCCCCTACTCCTTGCTCCTGCTCCCATGATGTGAGATGCCTTGCTTACCCTTTGCCTTCCACTATGGTTGTAAGTTCCCTGAGGCCTCCCCAGAAGCTGATTTTGCTATGCTTTCTGTACAGCCTGCAGAACCATGAGCAAACTAAACTATATATATATATATATATATATATACACACACATATATATATATATAATTGTATATATAATTGTAAGGTCTCTGATATATGTTATATATATACACATATATATTATATATATAAATACACACACACACACACACACACACACACACACACACACACACATATATATATATACACCCATTACCCAGTGGCAGGTATTTGTTTTTAGCAATGTGAGAATGGACTAATACACAATCCTATGACTATTAACATGGTTAACAAGAGTACAGTGCTTACGGGCAAGTCCTTTTTCTTATTTAGCTTTGCATTCTCTATTCATTTTCTAAGTAACTTAGGTCAGTACCTTATTCCTCTACCCTCTTCAATGAGGCTGTTTCAGACATTGATAATACAGTTAGATCTTGTTACAGTCTGCATTCCTTCCCAGATCTTCTGACCCTCTTAATTATTTTTATATATGCATACATTTAAGGTTTACTCTATATAGTATAAAGTTCAATGGGTTTGACAAAGACATAATGGCATGTGTCCACTATTACAGTATCACACTAATTAATTTCACTGCTCTAAAATTTTGCTTTTTTTCACCTTTGCCTTCTCTACCTTCCTCACAAAACCCCTGCCAACCATAAACCTTTTTACTGTCTTTATAGTTTTGCTTTTTAAAAAATGTCACATAATTGGAATTTTAAAGTATACAGCATTTTCAGACTGACTTATTTTATACTATACTACCCTTTTAAGATCTATCCATGTCTTTTGGTTGCTTCATAGTTAATTTATTTTATTTTTTGCCAAATAATACTTCAACCTATAGATGTATTATAGTCTGTTTATGCATTCATATCTTGAAGAAAATATTGTTTGTTTCTCATTTTTGGCAATTATATATGAAGCTTCTATAAACATTTTTTGCACATTTTTGTATGGACATAAGTTTTCAACTCAGTTGGATAAATATCTAAGAGCACAATTGCTAGATCATGTGGTGTAATTATCTTTAGACTATTAAGAAACTGCCACGATGTCTTCCAAACTAGCTGAACCATTTTGCATTCCCACCCGCAATTATTAAGAATTCCCAGTGGGCAAAGGATATGAACAGACACTTCTCAAAGGAAGTCATTTATGCAACCAACATACATATGCAAAAATGCTCATCATCACTGGTCATTAGAGAAATGCAAATCAAAACCACAATGAGATACCACCTCACGCCAGTTAGAATGGTGATCATTAAAAAGTCAGGAAACAACAGATGTTGGAGAGGATGTAGAGAAATACGAACGCTTTTACACTGTTGGTGGGAGTGTAAATTAATTCCACCATTGTGGAAGACAGTGTGGTGATTCCTCAAGGATCTAGAACTAGAAATACCATTTGACCCAGCAATCTCATTACTGGGTATATACCCAAAGGATTATAAATCATTCTACGATAAAGACACATGCACACATATGTTCATTGCAGCACTATTCACAATAGCAAAGACTTGGAACCAGCCCAAATGTCCATCAATGATAGACTGGATTAAGAAAATATGGCACATATACACCATGGAATACTATGCAGCCATAAAAAAGGATGAGTTCATGTCCTTTGCAGGGACATGGGTGAAGCTGGAAACCATCATTCTCAACAAACTAACACAAGGACAGAAAACCAAACACCACATGTTCTCACTCTTAAATGGGAGTTGAACAATGAGAACACATGGACACAGGGCGGGGAACATCACACACCAGGGCTTGTCAGGGGGTAGGCGGCTGGGGGAAGGATAGCATTAGGATAAATACCTAATGTAAATGATGAGTTGATGGGTGCAGCAAACCAACATGGCACATGTATACCTATGTAACAAACCTGCATGTTGTGCACATTGTACCCTAGAACTTAAAGTACAATTTTTTAAAAAAAGAAAACAAAAGGAATTCCCATTGCTCCATATTTGTTTTAGTCTATTTGTGGAACTACAACAAAATACCTGAGACTGGGTAAGTAATTTATAAATAATAATGTATTTTCTCACAGTTCTGAAGGCTAAGTCCAAAATCAAGGCACTGGCAGGTTAGGTGTCTGGTAAGGGCCCTTGTCTCTGCATCTGTTATAGTGCTTTGTACAGTGTGTTTTCATAAGGCAGAAGGTATGGCTGGGCAAATAAAAGGGGCCACACTGTCTATGTGAAGTCTATTTTAAAGAACACTAATCCCATCTGTGAAGGCAGATCCCTCATGGCCTAATAACATCCTAAAGGCCCCACCTTTTAATACTGTTACACTGGAAATTAAGTTTCAACATGAATCTTGAGGGATACAAACTTTCAAACCATAGCAACATCCTTGCCAACATTTTATATAGTCAGTTTTATAACTTTAGCTATTTTAATAAGTGTATAGTGGTATCCCATTCTTTTAATTTGTAATTACCTAATTACATATGACTTGAACATCTTTTCACTTGCTTATTTACCATCTTCTTTCATGGCATGTTTGCACAGTATTTTGCCTATTTACTAATTGAGTTGCTTGTTTCTTATTGTTCAGTTACAAGAATTCTTTGTATATTTTTGGCACATGTCCTTTATTAGATATATTGTTTTTCTAGTATTTAACTTCTCCTTTCAATGTCTGAAGAGCATAAGTTATGCAGCAGATATTTTAAATTTTAATAAAGTCCAGTTTATCAATTTTTCTTTCATGAATTCTGCTTTTGGTGTTGTAGCTAAAAAAATCATCCAAAACCAAAGGCCATCTATATTTTCTCTTGTTTTCTTCTATCAGTTTTATAGTTTTGCATTTTACCTTTAGGTCTGACTCATTTTGAGTAAATTTTTGTGAAAGGCATAAAGACTGTGCCTAAATTACTTTTTTTTTCTTACATAATGTATTTCCAATTATTCCAGGACCATTTGTTGACAAATTATTCTCTCTCCATTAAATTTCCTTTGTTTTTTCTTTGTTTTTTTTTTTTTTTTTTTGACAAAGACCCATTGACTATATTTCTATGGGTGTATTTCTGAATTCTCTATTATGTCCCATTAATCTATATGCCTATTCTTTTACCAATGAAATGTCTTAATTACAGTATCTTTATACTGTGCCTGAAGTTAGGTATGTCATACCTGCAAATTTTTTTTCTTTTTCTTCAGGATTTTGTTGGCTATTAAGAGTCCTGGCTGGGCACCGTGGCTCACACCTCTAATCCCAGCACTTTGTGAGTCTGAGGTGGGTGGATCACCTGAGGTTAGGAGTTTGAGACCAACCTGGCCAACATCGTGAAGCCTCAACTCTACTAAAAATACAAAAATTAGCCGGGCATGGCCACACACACCTGTAGTCCCAGCTACTCAGGAGGCTGAGGCAGGAAAGTCACTTGAACCCAGGAAGCAGAAGTTGCAGTGAGCCATGATTGAGCCACTGCACTCCAGCCAGGGCAACGGAGCAAGACTCCATCTCCAAAACAAACAAACAAAAGAGTCCTTTGCCATCTCGTAACAACTTTAATATTAATTTTTCAAAAACCACAAAATATCTTCCTGAAATTTTGTTTCATGTTGTTGTCAATTTGGGAAAAATTCACATCTTAACAATGTTGAGTTTTCTAATCCATAAATATGAAATATCTCTTCATTTATTTATATATGTGACTTTTTTCATTAGAGTTTTGTAGTTTTCTGTGTACAAGTACTATACATATTTTATTAAATATACACCTAGGTGTTTTTGCATTGTTTTTAAGTTATAAAGCTAATTATATTTTTTACGTATAATTCCAAGTGTTCATTTCTGTTAAAAAAATTACATTTTTTTGTTTTGTTTTTCAAATTTTATTTTAGATTCAGGTGGTACACAAAAGATTTTGTTACCTTGGTATATTACGTCATGCTGAGAGGTTTACAGTATGAAAGATCCTATCACTCAGGCACTGAGAAGAGTACCCAACAGTTTTTCAACCATTGTCCCTTGCAGTAGTCCCCAGTGTCTATTGTTGCCATCTTAATGCTCATGAGTACCCAATGTTTAGCCCCACCTGTGTGTGAGATAATGCAGTATTTGATTTTCTGTTCTTGTGCTAATTAGCTTATGATAATGGCCTCCAGCTGCATCCATGTCCATCATTTTTACGGCTACATTGTATTCCATGGTGTATATGTACCACATTTTCTTTATCCAATCCACTGTTAGAGGACATCTAGGTTGATCACATGTCTTTGCTATTGTGAATAATGCTGTGATAAACATACACTTGCATGTGTCTTTTTGATAGAATTATTTGTTTTCTTTTGGATATATATCCAGTAATGGGATTGCTGGGTCAAACTGTAGCAAGTTCTTTGACAAATCTCCATACTGTTATCCAAAGAGTCTGAACTAATATACATTCCCACAAATGATGTGTGTAACGGTTAATATTAGGTATCAACTTGACTAGATTGAAGAATTCCTAGATAGCTGGTAAGGTATTGCTTCTGGGTGTGTCTGTGGGGATGTTGCCAGAGGAGACTGACATATGAGTAAGTGGACTGGGAGAGGAAGACTCACCCAAAATGTGGTGGTCACCATCCAATAGGCTGCCAGCATGACTAGAAAAAAGCGGGCAGAAGAAAGTGGAATGTAAATTGGCTTTCTGAGTCTTCTGGCTTTCATCTTTCTCCTGTGCTGGATGCTTACTTCTGTTTCTCCTTCCCTCAGACATCAGACTCCAGGTTCTTCAGCCTTTGTACTCTTGGACTTACACCAGTGGTTTGCCCGGAACTCTTGGGCCTTCAACCCCAAACTAAAGGCTGCACTGTCAGCTTCTCTGCTTTTGAGGCTTTTGATCTTGGACTGAGCCACTACTGGGTTCTTTCTTCTGCAGATTGCAGATGGCCTTTCTGGAACTTCACCTTGTGATCATATGAACCAATTCTCCCTAATAAACTCCCTTTTTTTTATTTTTATTATTATACTTTAAGTTCTAGGGTACATGTGCACAATGTGCAGGTTTGTTATATATGTATACATGTGCCATGTTGGTGTGCTGCACCCATTAGCTGGTCATTTACATTAGGTATATCTCCTAATGCTTTCCCTCCCCCCTCCCCCCACCCTACAACAGGCCCCATTGTGTGATCTTCCCCTCCCTGTGTCCAAGTGTTCTCATTGTTCAGTTCCCACCTATGAGAACATATGGTGTTTTGTTTTCTGTCCTTGCAATAGTTTGCTAAGAGTGATGGTTTCCAGCTTCGTCCATGTCCCTACAAAGGACATGAACTCATCGTTTTTTATGGCTGCATAGTATTCCATAGTGTATCTGTGCCACATTTTTTTAATCAGTCTATCATTGATGGGCATTTAGGTTGGTTCCAAGTCTTTGCTATTGTGAATAGTGCTGCAATAAACATACATGTGCATGTGTCTTTATAGCAGCATGATTTATAATCCTTTGGGTATATACCCAGTAATGGGATGGCTGGGTCAAATGGTATTTCTAGTTCTAGATCCCTGAGGAATCACCACACTGACTTCCACAATGGTTGAACTAGTTTACAGTCCCACCAACAGTGTAAAAGTGTTCCTATTTCTTCACATCCTCTCCAGCACCTGTTGTTTCCTGACTTTTTAATGATCGCCATTCTAACGGGCGTGAGATGGTATCCCATTGTGGTTTTAATTTGCATTTCTCTGATGGCCAGTGATGATGAGCATTTTTTCATGTGTCTGTTGGCTGTATAAATGTCTTCTTTTGAGAAGTGTCTGTTCATATCCTTTGCCCACTTTTTGATGGGGTTGATTTTTTCTTGTAAATTTGTTTAAGTTCTTTGTAGATTCTGGATATTATCCCTTTGTCAGATGAGTAGATTGCAAACATTTTCTCCCATTCTGTAGGTTTCCTGACCACTCTGATGGTAGTTTCTTTTGCTGTGCAGAAGCTCTTTGGTTTAATTAGATCCCATTTGTCAATTTTGGTTTTTGTTGCCATTGCTTTTGGTGTTTTAGACATGAAGTCCTTGCCCATGCCTATGTCCTGAATGGTATCGCCTAGGTTTTCTTCTCGAATTTTTATAGTTTTAGGTCTGATATTTAAGTCTTTAATCCATCTTGAATTAATTTTTGTATAAGGTGTAAGAAAGGGATCCACTTTCAGCTTTCTACATATGGCTAGTCAGTTTTCCCAGCACCATTTATTAAATAGGGAATCCTTTCCCCATTGCTTGTTTTTGTCAGGTTTGTCAAAGATCAGATGGTTGTAGATGTGTGGTATTATTTCTGAGGGCTCTGTTCTGTTCCATTGGTCTATCTCTCTGTTTTGGTACCAGTACCATGCTGTTTTGGTTACTGTAACCTTATAGTATAGTTTGAAGTCAGGTAGTGTGATGCCTCCAGCTTTGTTCTTTTGGTTTAGGATTGTCTTGGCAATGCGGGCTCTTTTTTGGTTCCATATGAACTTTAAAGTAGTTTTTTCCAATTCTGTGAAGAAAGTCCTTGGTAGCTTGATGGGGATGGCATTGAATCTATAAATTACCTTGGGCATTATGGCCATTTTCAAGATATTGATTCTTCCTATCCATGAGCATGGAGTGTTTTTCCATTTGTTTGTGTCCTCTTTTATTTCATTGAGCAGTGTTTTGTAGTTCTCCTTGAATAGGTCCTTCACATCCCCTGTAAGTTGGATTCCTAGGTATTTTATTCTCTTTGAAGCAATTGTGAATGCGAGTTCACTCATGATTTGGCTCTCTGTTTTTCTGTTATTGTATAGGAATGCTTGTGATTTTTGCACGTTGATTTTGTACCCTCAGACAATATCATACTGAATGGGCAAAAACTGGAAGCATTCCCTTTGAAAACTGGCACAAGACAGGGATGCCCTCTCTCACCAGACCTATTCAACATAGTGTTGGAAGTTCTGGCCAGGACAATCAGGCAGGAGAAAGAAATAAAGGGTATTCAATTAGGAAAAGAGGAAGTCAAATTGTCCCTGTTTGCAGATGACATAATTGTATATTTAGAAAACCCCATCATCTCAGCCCAAAATCTCCTTAAGCTGATAAGCAACATAAACTCCCTTTCATATATGCATATATCCTATTAGTTCTGTCCCTCTAAAGAACCCTGACGAATACAGTGTGTAAGCATTCCCTTTTCTCAGCAGCCTCACCAACATCTGTTTTTTTTTTTATTTTTAATAAGAGACATTCTGACTGGTGTTTAAAAGTACCTTATTGTTGTTATGATTTGTATTTCTCTGATGATTAGTGATGTTGAGCATTCATTTATATGTGTGTTGACCACTTGTATGTCTTCTTTTGAGAAGTTTCTCTTTATGTCTTTTGTCCATTTTTTAATGGGGTTATTTATTCTTTGCCTGTTCAGTTGTTTAAGTTACTTATAGACTTTGGATATTAGACCTTTGTCAGATGCATAGTTTGTAAATATTTTCTCCCATTCTGTAGGTTGTCTCTTTACTCTGTTTATAGTTTCTTTTGCTGTGCGTAAGCTCTTTAATTAGGTCCTACTTGTCCATTTTTTGGTTTTGTTGCATTTGCTTTTGAGGACTTAGTCATAAATTCTTTCCCAAGACTGATATCCAGAATGGTGTTTCCTAGGTTTTGCTTTAGGATTCTTATACTTTGAGGTATTACATTTAAATCTTTCATGCATCTTGAGTTTATTTTTGTATATGGTGAATTGTAGGAGTCCAGTTTAATTCTTTTGCATATGCCTTGTAGCTATCCCAGCCCTATTTATTGAACAAGGAGTCCTTTCCTCATTGATTATTTTTATTGACTGCTGAAGATGAGATAAATGTAGGTGTGAAGCTTTATTTCTGGGTTATATATTATCTTCCATTGTTCTAGGTGTCTGCTTTGTACCAGAACCATGGTATTTTGGTTACTGTTGACTTATAGTATAGTTTGAAGTTGGGTGATGTGATGCCTCTGGCTTTGATCTTTTTCCACATGAATGCTTTGGCTATCTGGGCTGTTTTTTGTTTCTCTGTGAATCTTAGAATAGTTTTTACCAATTCTGTGAAAAAAAAATTATGTTGGTAGTTTGATAGGAATAGTGTTGAATCTGTAGTTGCTTTGGACAGTATGGGCATTTTAATGGCATTAATTCTTCCAATCCAGGAACATAGAAGCCTTTTCCATTTGTTTATGTCACCTATGATTTCTTTTAGCAGTGTTTTTTTTTTTTTATTTATTTGTGTGTGTTTGTGTTTGTGTGTGTGTGGAAATTTTTAACCTTATTAGTTAGATGTATTCCTAGGCATCAAATTTTGTATATTAACAGTATATTTTGTGACAAAGTTATCATTGCTTATATCTTCTTAGGAGTTATTGTCAATTATTTGTGATTAGTAGACTGACTTTACTTTGTAAAAAGTATTGTTAATTTATCTCTTCTTTTTCTTGGCTAGACTTGCTAGAGGTTAAAAGATTCTATTATCTTTTCAAAAACCAGATTTGGTTTTTCCTTTTTTTCTGTATTATTTTTGCTTTTAATTTTGTTGATTATTGACTTTAAGTCATTTATTATTTTACTTTCTTTAGGCTATCTTTGTCACTTTATTATTATATGAGATGAACTTTGGTTACCGATTTCAGAGATTTGTTCTTTTCTAATTTCTGCATTTAATTCTATACATTTTCCACTCTTCACTGCTTTTGCTGCCTTCCACAAATTTTTATAAGTTGTATTTTTCTTTTGATTTAGTTGACAATATATTTTTTAATTTACCTTGAGTGTTTTTCTTTGATACATTTGTTATTTAAAAGTTTAGTGCCTAATCTTGAAATATTTTAAAAGTTTTCAGCTATCTTTCTCCTATTGATTTAAATGTTAATTCCATTGTGGTCCAAGGACATACATTATATGATTTTTTTCTTTTAAATTTATTAAGATAACATGATATTAGAAAAAAAAAAGCTAGAAAGGAAACCCAAAATGTCCATCCCACCCAAAAAGCAGTGAATAAGCTAGCAAAAACAATCAGAATCAACTTTTTCAGAACCACCAAATGTCATAAAAACTTACAGAAACCAGGGGAGTGGTTATTGAAGAAAATAATAACAGCTGAGTCTTGGTAAAAGAGCTTTGTGGCATTTTTATTTACTTTGGTACCATCCTCTACTACTCATTTTGGTGATGACCTTGCATTCTTGGAAGAAATTTTTAGTACTGATTTTCTAGTAGTAGAGGGAAAAGTACTATCCCATTCTCAAAGAATTATTGTTGTTTGTTTTTATCTAGCCAACTTGGAACTTTCTCAGAGCTGGATATACTACTTGGGTTGAAATTGGTCAACAACTGTTCAAGGTGAGATTTGAGGCAGAGCAAGATGGCAGAATAGAAGGGTCCATTGATTGCCTCTCTTGCAAGGACACCAATTTAACAAATATATACACAAAATAAACGTTCATAAGAACCAAAAATCAAGTGAGCACACAGAGCACCTGTTTTTAGCTTTGTATCACTGAAAGAGGCAGTGAAAAGGTAGGTAAAAAAATCTTGAATAGCCAAAACACCACCCATTCACCATCCCCTGGCAGTGGTGGCATGGTGTGGAAACATTTTAGTGCACTAGGGTGAGGGAGATCATGGCATTTGTGAGGCATTAAACTCAGTGCTGTCCTATTATAACAGAAAAAAAAAAAAAACTCCACACCAAACTCAGCTGATGCCCACCAAGGGAGAGAGCATTTAAAACAGCCCTAACAAGAGGGGAATTACCAATACCAGCAGTGGGAACTTGAGTTCCCACATCCCTCACCACTGCTTGCTAAAGTGCCTTGGGGAGTTAAATAAACTTGAAAAGCAGCGTAGGCCACACGGACTGAAACACCTATGGTGAGTCCTAGTACTGAACTGGGCCCAGAGACAGTGGACTGGAGGGGCATGTTACCTACTGAGACACTAGTTGGGGAGGCTAAGGGAGTGTTAGCATCACCCCTCCCAAAACCCTAGGCCGGGCTGGGCACGGTGGCTCACACCTGTGATCCCAGCACTTTGGGGGCCAAGGTGGGTGGATCGCCTGAGGTCAGGAGTTTGAGACCAGCCTAGCCAACATGGTGAAACCTCATCTCTACTAAAAATACAAAAATTAGCCGGGCATGGTGGTGGGAGCTTGTAATCCCAGCTACTCAGGAAGCTGAGGCAGGACAATCCCTTGAACTCAGGAGGAGGAGGTTGCAGTGAGCCAATGTTGCACCATTCCATTCCAGCCTGGGCGACAAGAGCGAGACTTCATTTCAAAAAAGAAAAAGAAAAAAAACCCTAGGCTGCAGAACTCATGGCGCCAAAAGAGACTCCTTCTCTCCACTTGAGGAGAGAAGAGGAAAGAGGGGGGAGGACTTTGTTTGTATTTTGGATACCAGCAAAGCCACAGCAGGATAGGGCATCATCAGAGTTGTGAGGCCCCCTTTCCACGTCCTAACTCACAGACAACATTTCTAGACACACCATGGGCCAGAAGGGAACCTGCTGCCTTGAAGGGAAGGAACCAGTCCTGGCAGGATGTATCACCTGCTAACTGAAGAGTCCTTGAGCATTGAATAACCAGCAGTGATACCCACTTACTATATATAGAGGGCCGTGAGTGAGACTCTGAGACTCGCTGCTTCAGGTGAGACTCAGCACTTTCCCAGCTCTGGTAGCTATGGGAAGACACTCCACCCACTTAAGAACAGCAGATGGAAAAGTAAAGCAGACTTTGGCTTGCAACTTAAGTATCAACGTGCCCACAATGGGGAAGAGCACTAGGAAGGCTCTTGAGGTCCCAAATTTTAGGACTCGGCTCTTGGAATGCATTTTTGGAACTGTCCTAGGACACAGGGGATCCCACTGCCCTGGAGGATGAGTTCCAGGCCAGGCAACAGTCACCACAAGCTGACTTAAGAGACCTTGAGTCTTAGGGGAACATCAGTGATAGTCTGGCAATTCTCCCCATAGGTCTATGGTGGTGGTGGTGGTGGTGGCCATGAGATGAGGATCTTCTGCCTTTGGAAAGGGAACAGAAAAGTGGGAAGGACTGCATCTAGTGTTTTGAGTACAAGCTCAGCTGCAGTACAATAGAACACCAGGTAGACTTCTAAGGATCTTGCCTCTAGTCCCTGGCTCCCAGATGGCAACTCTGGACAGACCTGGGGTCTAAGGGAAGCTGCCACCCTGAAGTGAGGACACAGATCTGGCTGGATTTGCCATATGCTGTTTTTAGACCCCTGGTGCCTTGAGCAAACATAGGCAGTAGCCAGTGAGTGATTACAGCAGGCCTTGGATAAGATCCCATGCTATGCTTTCTTCATATCTGACTCAACACAGTCTCACTGGTGGTGACTACTGAGGTGCTTGTGTCACACCACCTGCAGCTCCAGGTGTCTCAAAAGAGAGAGAGAGAGACTCTGTTTGTTTGGGAAAAAGTAAGGGAAGAGAACAGGAGTCTCAGCCTGGTAATCTAGATAATTCTTCCAGATCTTATCCAAAACTATCAAGATGGAAACTCTACGAGTCTGTAAGAACCACAGAGTTACTGCAATTAGGATGCCTCCTAAAGAAGAAACAGTTTAGATGCAAGGATGGTTCAACATATGCAAATCAATATCTACATGATATATCTTATCAACAGAATGAAGGACAAAAACCATTTAATAATTTTGGCCGGGCATGGTGGCTCACGCCTATAATCCCAGCACTTTGGGAGGCTGAGGAGGGCAGATCACAAGGTCAGGAGTTCGAGACCAGCCTGGGCAACACGGCAAAACCCCGTCTCTTCTAAAAATACGAAAATTAGCCAAGTGTGGTGGCGCATGCCTGTAATCCCAGCTATTCGGGAGGCTGAGGCAGGAGAATCGCTTGAACCCAGGAAGCGGAGGTTGCAGTGAGCCGAGATTGTGCCACTGCACTCCAGCCCAGGCGACAGTGTGAGACTCCATCTCAGAAAAAAAAAAAAAAAAAAAAAAACCATTTAGTAATTTCAACTGATGCTGAAAAAGCATTGGATAACATTCAATATCCATTTGTTATAAAAATCCTCAAAAAGCTGGGAATAGAAGAAAATACTGCAACACAATAAAAGTTATATATTATAGACCCACAGCTAGTATCATACTGAATGGAGAAAAACTGCTACATTAAGGTGCATTGGTGAGACTGTAACAATACTAACCTGATAGTAATCACTCTCCTGAATTCTAAAACAAAGTTTGGTGTTTACTGCTTTTGAACATTATATACATGGAATCATATTTTATTTGCTCTTTTGTTTTCTAGGGTTTTTTTTTGGTTTCACAAGCATTCTTACTCTTATTGTTATGCTTGCCAGATTTATCTGTGCAGCTCTGTATAGCTGTAGATGATTAATTCTTGTTACCTTGTGTGTATATTCCATTGTGAATATACTATAATTTATATATCCAAACTGCTATTGATGAGTATTTGGGTGGTTTTCCATTTGTGTTTATTATAAATAATACTACAATGAACATCATTGTATATGTTTTTTCATGAATATATATGTGCATTTTTATTGTAGGAATGGTTAGTTCTTAGGATGTACACATGTTAAGCTTTAGTAGATAATACAAAGTAGTTTAACAAAATGATTATAGCAGTTAATTCCTCCATTAGTGCTGTGTGAAAATTCCAATTGTTCCACTTACTCTTTAATGCTTCATCTTTGCTGCCTTTTTTTTTTAGCCTTCTTTTTGGGATTATAATAGTATTGTATGGTAGATTTAATTTGAGTTTTCCTGATGACCAATAAAGTTAAACACCCTTTCAATATGTTTACTGGTGATGCAAATATCCTCTTTAGCTTATTTTTCTATTAAATTATCTGGTTTTTGCTTATTGATTTGTAATAGTTCTTTATATTATCCAGATATTAGTCATTTGCAATATGTGTGTTGCAAATATCTTCTCTCATTTTGTGTTTTGCTTTTTTATTTCCTTAAGGTATATTTAAGTAAAAAAAAAAAAAACATTCAAATGTAGCTACATTTATTTAGTTTCAAGTAAGATACAGTATATGGTGAAAGGCCCAAATTCCTATTGCAACAATTGCATACATCAAATAAGGTACAAATGTCATATTTTAAAAGGCATTGAAGCAATGGGTATGATAAACAAAAAATTCAAGAGAGAGGGAAAATAATTATTCTGAGGTGAGCTGATAATTGACTCCCATATCTCCCATCCTCCATCCTCCCTCTGACAGGCATTTGCTATTTCCCATTACAAGCTGTAGATCAGGCTTGGTCCAGGATTTTTTTTTTTTAAACAAGGAACTATGTCTAAGGGTTAAATATCAGTATAAAAATATTTGCTGTTTTTATCTTTTCTCCAAATAAATGTGAAAGTGTAATATACTAATATACCTTGACTATAACAGCAAAATACTTTATTCGAGCAAGTAATAGTGTGCCATGGTAGTGTAAGTAGGCTTTTAATAAGTTACTCTATAACATGATTATGGGAATTAGGTTACATTAAAACATTTACAAAATAAACTACATTTTACAGTAGTTTGAATTTGAAATCTGTAAATCTGCAACCAATATCATCAACGTGGTCTTAGGTTCATTGTGCCTTTCTTATTATATGAAAATGTTTAATAGCACTTCAGTCTCTGAAAATTAGAGTAGGCAATTGAAATTTAAGTAAATAATCCATAAAAGTACACTAAACCATAAGTTTCTACAGACACAAAATTACGGCAGAAGGTCCTATACATAAGACAGAATCTCCTACATTCGAATTGACTTTTATGTCTATTTAACAATAAAAATAAAATCATAGCTTTAAGTCTAATTAGAATTATAAACTTTTTTGCTTTCTAATTGCATTTGGAATTTACTAAGCAGTTTCTTAATAGGGAGATTTTAAGTGAACTAAGTCATAAATTTCAAAGGTATAATGAATTTCGTAAATATAAATGCAAAATGAAAATGAAGCACCATTATAGGTATTTTTTAAAATAAGAAAACTTTTTTTAATAGAATAACTTTGTCATTCTAAATAATAACTTTTAATATAACTTGATTGTGAGTCATTTGTATAAGTGCCATGTATAAACAAACACACATATTGTCATTAAAAAGCACTCTTAACAATGGTACTACTGCAAATGGTAATTTCAGGAACTGAAAAACTTGTCACGACAATCAACAATTTCAACTTCTTTGTTAATTTTGATTTAATGCCATAAAAATTAGCAGAGAGTTTATAGCCCTTTTGTTATTTTTGAATAGTTACTAGCAGTTAGCAGCAAATATCTTCTTTTTTCCCACCTGCCTCACAAATTGAATATTTCACAGAACTGAACACTCTCATGAAGATTATACAAAAGTTTTTGGAGGATTGAAATTGTGTGGGACTCTTTTGAGAGTGATCAAGAGATGACATGAAAAAGTTGCATGTCTGTTCTTACTCACAGCAGTTACCATAAAAGATGGCATGAAAACTCTCCAGAGAAACAAAACCTTTTCATCCAGCTCAATGGCTTAAAAAATGTCAGGGAGTTTTCTATCTATTTCCATCCAAGTAATTCAACATAGCATATTTTAAGCATGAAAGACTAAAACAAACGGGTGAAAGTGATGTTTTCTTTGCATCTGTCTTAAAATTCAATGGATTTTAAGAATCATAAAACTGCTTTATTTTCAGACACCATTTATTCCTTCCCTGCCATGGGGGGATACTGCTATGGAACAGTGTGTACTGCTGGAAACTTTTTGATTGACAGTTAGAATCTGGTGACTTTTTAAACTCTTCAAAAGTTAAAGCAAAGCATGCGTTAAATTTTGCTTGCAAAAAGGTCAATCCCAGAGATATTTTTAAAAAATCCACAGACGTTCTTATTTAATAATTCATAATAAGCCTTTTTTTACCTTTTCCATGAATTACATTTTTAAATTTAATTTATATTTAAAATTTAAATTTTAAATTGACATTGAAATTTACATTTAAAAATTTTAAGTGCATGAGCACTTGCCTTGGCCAAACAAAGTTTTATAAATTTGTTTTTCAATAATCATAATCAGTCATTTTCTTTATCATTTCTCTTTTTGTATCACTCATTTTCCCTAAAGTTTCAAGTAATATTTAGTTTTCTTACCTCATCTGTAAAGAAGAACTAAAAAGGAAAAAAAAAATGCTGATTTGTTGGAAATGCAGTACTTCCAAGATATCAGTTATATGCTGCTATCTTATAAGAAAAGATATGTTTTATTTAACAAAGGTGCAATAGAAAATATTCGTTCCCAGGTACTTCTGGCCAGCCATGCACATGGACAAAATGGGTTCTACTAGCAAGAGGCAGCCATCTGTCAAAATGTAGGTGTTTGATGTTGGAAGTCAGGCTAGGGAAACAGAACACTGATAGTTTCTGCTACAATAGACTTTTGAAATTGGAATAACTGCTAAAGTGTCCGTAGATCCACCAAGTGGGAGTTATCAGGAATGTAGCCTGAAATAGTTTCCCCATTGGTAAAAAGGGAGAGGGAAACTACTTTTCAGGGTTGTTGTGAGGATTTAATGAAATGGCATGCCAGAAGTTCCTGGAACAAGGCAGTCAATAAAATTTAGATTTCCAACCCTTTTAAGTTCTAACATTAAACATTCTTCTTTTCACTTATCAAGTAGATACTAATATTTTATTTTTGCAACTCAGATAATGAATGCTAGTGGTATGGTTACGGTAAAGATATAATTCAAGAATTTGCTGAATAATCACAACATTTTGTAGCTAAATAAAACAGATGTGGAGAATTATTTTTCCAATGTTGACTAAATAATATAAAGAAAAATAAGTGAATTAATATATAAAAATTGAATCTAAATTAAAATTAGTGTTTTATTTTATGCTAAAACATGAATTTTACAGAATATAATAATACATCTCAGGTCTCCTGGAACTGTACACTATTTAAGAGCAATGAAGATATTTTGGAAGAGCCTAGGAAATTAATGTCAGTTCTCTCAGGGTACGGCATCCTATTCTGTTGTTTAGAAGAATACTAGAATTAAATAGAAGCATCATTATGTCACATCAAATACAATGTCAACGTAAGTGAAATCCCCCTTTTCATCCATACTTCTAATGGTGTAAGAGGATTCTGATGAAGATAGAAACTAATGCAATACAACTGGTGGTACATATAAACATAATTTGTTAGGTGTGCTAGGCATGGTAAACCTAACAAATTTAAGCTACAATGTCTGAAGAAACAGTTTCCAAAGATTAAAAAAAAAAATAAATGTAACATTATTAGAAATTACTAGCTAGAAAGAGATATCTTTCAAGCTTTCAATCTGTATATTTTTAGGGCCACTTAACCTTCTCTTACACGTCCCACATGCATTTTAAATTCAAGATGTTAAAACTAAATTTTTTTATACCCCAACACTCCATCTCAATGAAAGACACCAGTCTACATCTATCTGCTAAAACCAGAAACCTGGAAGTCATTCTTAAATTCTCCTTCCCCATCATCATCTCTCTCAACCAATCAATTACCAATTTCTTTTAAACATACCTCCTGAATACCCTGAAGAACCTTTAACTTTTCTACATTTTCAGAAACATCATCCTATCAGCCACTAACAACCCTCAACTGGGCTATTGTAATGACCTCGCAACTAGTCTTTTTGTTTGTGTCGCTCCCTATAATTCATCCTCTAAAGCTTAGTTTGACACTGTATTCTGAGCACCTAGTGTCTGGCATATAGTAGTTTATCAATTGATATTTATTGATATTTGTTCAAATAATAAAAGAAGAAAACAAATAAGAAAAAAATGAAATTTTGACAAATTAAAAGGCAAATATGATTATTACTACATCTACTAAAAACTCCTCCATGACTTTTGATTACTCTCATGATTAAATCTAAATTCTATAACAAGTTCTATAGGCTTCTTAATAATCTTTGCATCATTTATATGTTCAGTCTCTTCACTTGTCACTGTCCCCACCAATGACCCTCTGTATTCTGTATTCTTCACATTTAACATCTTTCAGTTCTCTAACCGTGGCATTTTCTCTGTTGTCTCTAAAACTCCACAGGCTGATTCTTCTCTCTGGAATACCATCCCCTCTCTGGTTCATGTAGACAACTTCTGCTTACTCTTAAAACCACTCCTCTGCTCATTTATTTTAGTATAACTCACCTGCATGCCCCCAAGTCTTAGTTGAGAACCCCATTTCTATGGTCTCAAACACCTGCTATTCCCTGCATCTTAGCAGTTAGCATATAATATCCACCTGGATGTTTACATTTCTTCCTTATTTGCTAAATTTCCAAGAGCAGAGACCATGTCTATTTTGTTTTTGGCTACATTCCCAAACCAAGGCACAGTGACTTACACCTAGCAGGTGCTCAGTAAGTATTTGTTCAATATGTGGATGAATGAGTGAATGAAATTATATCATGTCTAGAGATCTTTCTAGTCCATTTTAAAGCTGACATTTCCAAGATAGTTGGTGTGGTAGATGTCATAACACATGACCTCATCTCCTCTCATAAATAAAGGACTTATTCTGCAGCTGCTGGGACTGCTGCCAGTAGAAAATCCTCAGTAGTCATCCCCTTTGAGGATGCCTCGGCTAAAGAAGAGTGCCAGGAACAAGGTTATGCCCACTTCCCAAGATGATATGCAGCCAAATACTGATCCTTATAGGAGCATAAAGGCCTGCTTCTTGCCCTAATTCAGGGCAGCTCTGAAGGGTCACCCCATTTGCAGAACTCCATAGAGACTAAATTCAGTCATTCCAATCAGAATGCATTGCAGCTTTACCACTCCCTATTCTTTATTTAACTCTCTTCACTTTCCTACCACAGGAATTGAATTGAATCTAAGAGCATTCTATAATAGAGTACTTCTAACCTCTGTCTCAGAGTCCATGTTCTAAGGAACCCAACCTGTGAAAGTTGGAGAATGGAGAAATTTAGTGTTTGTTAAAATTTCAATAAATTATTATGATTATTTTTGTATTGATTATCTGCATTTGTCCCTGCCCCCAACCCCATTCCTATATCCATTATTTACCCCTCTCTGTTCTGGTCTTGACCCAGGAGACTGACCTTGGTGGAATTCAGGGTATGATACCTCAAAATATGGCACCTTGGCATTTGAGTCCTAAGACCCTCATTTAAGAGATTCTCTCTGTCTGTCTGAAGGAAAGAAACATTCTTATCTCAGAAAACACAGGAACATAAAGAAAAATGTGAACAAACAATCCTTGATAAGTTCCCCCAAGCTAATTATCATTAGATTATAGCATTTAGTCTTCTAATTATATTTCTCCATGACGATTCACTCTTCATCACTCTTCAAACTGTTTACCTGTTTCTTTGGGTTTTTATTTCTAAGGATTCCTGTGTCACGTAAAACTTATATCAAATATATTTATAGGTTTTTCTCATGTTAGTTTGCCCTTTGGTAAAGGAGCCTCAGACACAACCTAACATGAGAAGAAATGACATATTTCTTTCCTACAACATCCATGTCAGAATATGCTTCCTGCGCTACCTTGCTGGTCTTGTTCCCAGCTGTGTTAAGCCAGGGGGAAGGCAGAAGCAAGAGATAGGATAATGAGAAAAAAGAGGCCGTGAGGGTCTTTTTTTATGTTTTCTGACATCAATTCTGACACAAAATATATGATTTTATTCTGACAACAAATAAATGTATTTTTCCACACCATTTCTGCAAATTCTCCAATACCAACAAAGTGTTTGAAAATTCAATTCAATTCTCTCACTAACTTCTGTTAGTGGCAGTACCCTATGGGGCAGTAACCCCATAGGTTAAGCACAGAGCTCTGTAGGAGCACAGAGCTCCTAAAACCAGAAACAAAGACCAAATACATTTTTTATTACACCACAGTTTTTTTTTTAACCTGCTCCATTCTTGCCTCCATATTACATTTTTTAACAGGAGACGCTATTCTTTGAATTGCTCATTGCTTTACAGTTGTTCACTACAATCTGACTCCTGTTGGGCTTTGATACTACTATACTATTCTCTCCTTTTTCCCCTTCCGGTTTAAGGAAAATAGTGTCTTCCTGCTGTTGCTTATCTTAGTAACTCAGCATTCCTAGTTGGTTCTATCTTGCCAACAGTTGATAGGGGTGTGGGAGGAGATAGTATTTCCACTCCCTTCCCTCTTCTTTACCAGTTGTCAAGTGAAACGTAAGCTGAATTCCATAGTTGTTCAGAATGCTGTGAGGGAGTCCCATCCTACATTTGGTTAGATTTAAGAAAATCTCTTTCCACTATACCATTTTACAAGAGGAATAACCTGTTTTGAGTTCACTTGTATTTTCCTGACTGCCTTGCAATTTGTTTCTCATTAAACTCAGATGTGCCTTTCTTTGCCCTCACGCATTGAGATTTGGCCTTTTCCACTTTTGAACTGAGCCCAGAGACCAGAATATTTTTAATTATCAATTAAAAAGTGATGAGGAATCACTAACCAACTCGTTTGTAATGACTGCTTGTCAGGTTACTGTTACTGTCCTCTTGACTATGAAAACTGTAGCATACAATAGCAGTATATTTGTTCAACTGTCCGAGTAATGTGCAAAAAGATTATGGCTCTCTAGATTACATTTTTAAAGAAAGAGATTAAAAGCTTTACCTCATCATTTAATTTAAAATTAGGTTAAAGTTCTTTTTAATTTATGGGAAGGGGTAATTGACAAAGAGTTCAAATAACCATTTTTATAAATATGTTTGATGAGGGCTACATATTGAAGAGTAGTTGCAAATAAATTATTACACAAGAGTAATTGAGCTCACCGTGTCCCTGAAATTGACAGACCACATGCATAGTAATTTTCTCTGTTTAGAGAAACTATATAATTAGCCTTGACAAGTAAAGGGAAGAAAGGGATTAACTTTTTGCAAGATGATTCTATTAAAGCAGTGCTGTGGGATTTGAAATTTGAACATAGAGCTATTCATTGAAATTCTAAAATAGTTGACATGAGGGAAAATATATTGAAAGAGATTTGGAATTTCTAATTGTACCTGACCCGATCTCTGGCCAAAGGGCAGCCTTATGGGTCAAAATGGTCTAGAGTTTGTCCCTTGTTATTTGTTACCAGTAAAAGAATGGTTTAGAATAGGCTTAATGGAGGAATCAGTTAAAGAGTTTTTCTTCTACTAACTCTTGACACAATGAACCCACCATATCAGTCATCACGTAAATGTCCATAAACCTTGAAAAAGGATCTGATAGTTTGACTCTGTTGACATCTTAGACTCTTTTTGCTGCATTCTTTTCTTCCACATTTCTTTTCTTTTTCCCTTCCTCCTTTCTTCCTTCCTTTCTTCTGTTCATCATTTCTTCTTAGCTTATTTACACTAGTAATATGAAAATACTTTTTTTATGTAATCGGTATTACATAACTATATATAACTATATCTAATGTATATATATTATATATAGAGAGAGAGCACAAAACTTTATTTGCAATTCTCTTTTAGTTGTTTTCCTATTGTGATGATAGGTAACATTATACTTTCCACAGCACTGCTGCTGCTGCATGTGATTATTTCTGCTTTCTCAAAATGATGGAAACAAAATTTAAGTGAAATTACAAGCTTCTGAAAGTTGCACAGACATTGACCAGCCATAACTGCTTCAGAAGGAATATAACAGGGAAAATTGTCAATTACTGGACATTTTTTGAAAAGGCTTTTTTTTTTTTTTTCCCAAAGCCATCACAAGAGCTCCTATGTTGTCAGAGCAATATCACTTTTTTTATCTCATGGCATCACTTAGGGCTGGTTTGTTTGTTTCAACAGCTTTATTAAGTTATAATTGATTTCCAAAAACCTCATATATTTAATTTATATAATTTGATGAGCTTGAACATGGACATACACTCATTAAACCATCACAACAATGAAGGTAATAAAAGTCTTCATCACCTCCCCAAGTTTTCTCATATTTCTTGTTTGTGTGTACATATGTGTGCACGTGCACACATGTGTGGGAAGAACACAACATGAGAACTACCCTCTTAAGAACTGCTTTAAGTGTAAAATATAGTATCGTTTACTGTAGGCACTATGTTTTGGAGCAGATCTATAGAAGTTATTTAACTTGCATAACAAACATTATTGCCATTAAATAACAACTCCCTATCTTTCTTCTCCCCAGCCTCTGGCAACCACCATTCTACTCTCTGCTTCTATGAGTTTATTTTAGATTTCAAATATAAGTGAAAACAGAACCATGCAGTGTTTATCCTTCTGTGTGGATGACTTGTTTTACTTAGCATTATGCCCTCCAGGGTCACCCATGTTGTCATATATGGCAGAATTTCTTTTTTAATGCTGAATAATATTCCAATGTACATATATATTATGTTTTATTTTTCCATTCATCTGATGATAGACATTTAGGTTGTTTCTATATCTCAGCTATTGTAAATAATGCTGCAATTAACCTGGAAGTGAAGATATAACTTTAAGATACTGATTTCAGTAATTTTGGATATGTATCCAGAACTGGGATTGCTGTATCATATGGTTGTTTCATTATATTTGCTTTTTATGAAATTTCATATGATTTTTCATATCAAAAACATCATTTTATATTCCCACCAACAGTGTGCAAGTGTTCCCACTTCTCTACAACTTCAACAACACTTGATATATTTTGGTATTTTTTTGAAAATACTATTGTAAGAGATGTGAGATGGTATTTGATTGTGATTTTGATTTGCATTTCTCTGATAATTAGTGACGTCGTTACAGATAGTTAGGCATGAGTGGGGCAGGAGAGGGCTCTCCCCCAACCCACTAGAATGTCAGGTGATGGTCTGGCAATTATTGCATTGCCTCTTTAATTTGGTAATGCCAGAGGAAGGTCATTTCCTGATGGTCCAAACCTGTTAATATCAAAATATTAATTGAATGCATGCCCAAGGGAGAAGCAACTTCCTGCACATGAGCATTAAGAAACAAAAATGGTGAAGTATGATCTTCCGCGGGCACATTCCACCAGAAAAGGGAAGAAAACCTCAGATGGACAGGCTCATAATTCCCTTAACACACTGCGCATGCTCAACTCCAAAGAGTAAGGAAAGTACTGAGCATGCGGGAAGCCCACTCTAAGGGAAGGATCATGTGGAAGAGGCGAGCTTATAGAAGTCCTAGGATCAAGGTTAAACAGGGCACTTGACTTTCTCTTTCACCTTCACATGCCCGCTTGGGTTTCTTCCAAGTGCATATTCCTTTCTTTCCTGTTCTAAGGCCTTTTGAAATAAACTTCCACTTCTGCTCTGGAACTTGTCTCAGTCTCTTTTTCTGCTTTATGCTCCTCAGTTGAATTCTTTCTTCTGAGGAGGCAAGAACTGAAGTTGCTCCGAATCGGTAAGAATAGACCACCAGTAACTTGGGGTAACTCGGTTCTTTTCCAATAACAACAATATTGAGCACTTTTTTATATATCTGTTGGTCAACTGTATGTCTTCTTTGGAAAAATGTCTAACTATTAAGGTATCTATTAGATGTCTATCTAGTAAATTGTTTTATTTGGTTTTGTTCTTTTTTTTTTTTTTTTTGCTGTTGAGTTAAAGGAGTTACTTATGCATTTTAAGTATTGTCCTGTTATGATACATCGTTTGCAAATATTTTCTCCCATTCCTTAGGTTATCTTTTCATTCTGTTAACCGTTTTCTTTACTATTCAGAAGCTTTCTTATTCTTATGTAGTCCCATGTGTTTATCTTTGCTTTCATTGTCTGAGCTTTTGGTGTAATATCCAAAAAAATTATTACCAAGGCCAGTGTCATGAACTGTTTTTCTTCCCAATATTTTCTGTAAAACTGTAGCTTTATAATTTCCGGTTTTTTGTTTAGATTTTTAATTCATTTTGAGTGAATTTTTGTGTATGGTATAATAAAAAGTATTCAATTGCATTCTTCTGCATGTAAATATTATTTTCTCAACAGAATTTGTTGAATAGAGTGATATTTTCCTGATTAGGTAACCTTGGCACCCTTGTGAAATGTCAGGCAACTGCATCTACATGAGTTTATTTCTTGGCTGTCTATTCTCTTCCATTGGACTATATGTCTATTTTTATGCCAGTACCATACAGTGGTAACTATAGTAACTTTGTTCTATATTTTGAAATGAGAAAGTGTGATACCTCCAGATTTCTTTCCTTCCCAAAATTGTTTTGACTATCTACAGATTTTATGGTTGCATTTGAGTTTTAGGATTCTTCTCTATGGAAAAAATGTCATTGGGATATTTATGGGGATTGCATTGAATCCATAGATTGCTTTTGGTAGTATGCATATTTTAACAATATTAATTCTGCCAGTCTATGGAAATGGAATATCTTTCTATTGGTGTCTACCGTAGTTTCTTTAATCAATGTTTTATAGATTTTGGCATACAAATTGTTGCAGAACTTTTCCTTAGTTCAGCTAAAGATGAGGTCCTTGTCTGTCCCATGGTCATGAAGATTTAGGCTCATAGACAATTTGAAGGGTGAGTAAAGCAGGGTTTTATTCAGTGAAAAGGAAGAAAAGGGGGAAAAAGAGACTCTCACAAGGCCAGAGTCTCTACTAGAGTGCTTCCCACCTGGCCATTTGAATCTCAGTTTCCACACAGGAAGAGAAGGGGCCAAGTTCCTCCCTGCTGCAAATGTTGTGAAATTCCTGAGGTTCCACCTCAGTGGGCAGGCTGGTTGGAGTTTCTCCAGGGACTCCTTTCCAACTGGCTGTCTCATTTCCCCCTCTAAAGACATGCATCTAACTGCCCTTAGATTAAGGATAAAGACAAAGATGAACTTAACTGCTTCCTGCTGACAGGGGGTGCTGTTTGGGGGAAACAGTAGTCAGAGCTCCCTCAAAGTCCTATCTAAGGGATCCCAGCAGAAGGGGCCATCGTCAGAGGCTCAGGTTGCATGACTGTTTTGAGTGTGATGTCCTGAAGGCAAGAACAGATGAACCAGGTTATTAGAAAACATGAATCAAAACAAAACAAGAGAAGGGATAAGGACAGCTGAAAGATCCCAAGGCCTTTTACCAGTTTGTACAGGGAGAGGGAGGTCAAAAGCCCAACTGGTTTTTTAAAAAAAAAACAAAAACAAAAAAAAAACTTTACCCTTTTGCCGGCAAGTTGGGCTTCTGGGTTCCCTTCCCCTGGGCCCAATCTTAAGTCAACCAGTTTAAGGTTTAGGAAATTACTCTTTATAGTTTGGAGGATGCATCTGAAGGGAGTGTCCCATAGTATGGAGAAACAATTACCTATCAGTGAAGAGAGTCCTGAGGAGGAGAAAGGAATAAAAAGACGGCATTTTTTCAAAGGAGCCACAGGGGCTCAGGATGCATTTGAAAGGGGTACAGACTAAAGATGAATGGCTACCTATCTAGAAAGGGAGCAGGCATGCCTGGTTCCCTTCTCTTCCTAGCAGATACCCGGAGGTAAATGAGGTAGGAAGAGGAGAGGGTCCTCTTTCCCTCTTCTGTCCTTGCATCCCCGAGTTCCAGTGACCTTGGCAGGTGCTGTCATAGATGTCAAAGAGACTTGCACCCATGAAGCAGGGAGACCTAGAGAATAAGAATTATCCACTCTCACCTATGTCCCTTTCCAACCTACTGTCAGTAGCCTTAGAGTTCCCTAGACCTCATTTATGCCATGGGTATTAACACAGTTTTTATTCATGAAACAGGAAGTTTGCGGTTGGCTTAATTGGCAGGAAACAGCCACACTCACCTGCACTGTGCCTTTTAACCTCTGTTGTCATTTGCCTCTGGATCCCTCAGATCCAGTTTTCTTTCCTAGGGCTTTGACCCGAAGCTTGGAATTGAGTTTGGGACAAAAATGTTTCTCAGGGCGGTGGGGGTGGGGGTTGCATGGACTCCTTATGATAAGCTAAAGGCTAAGGTGAAACTGTGGAACTGAGTTCTCCTCCAGCAAGGGAGAGGAAAGAATGTCTTGTGACACACTCAGATAACTGATAGCTATAGTTATGCTTGCTAGGATTTGGGTGCATGGTGCTTGGCTTTTGTTACCTTCCTTGGTTTTACTTTCCCAGAAGGAAACCTCTGGGTGATGGGCACCCTATTTATTCCTTATTTATTCTAACACCTGGCAAGATTTGCAGGATAATTGCTCGGAACTAGAATATTGACACCGATTTGTACATTACCCATCCCTTTTGTTCTTTCTGAGCTGCAGCTGGAGATTGCTGGTAGGTTCACAGGAACAAGCAGAGTTAATCTAAAATGTAGGCAAAAACTTAAAAAGAACTAATGAGTTTAGAATTTAGTGACAAACGTATGATAAGTTTTGGAACATAATGTCTCCCTCTCCAGTCCTCATTTTTGTTAAGAAACAAATGATCATAGGACTGAGGTATTCAAATAGATTTTAGTCTTATACTTGGCCTGATTATTTGCATAAAGTGGAGCAAGAATAATTATTTCTACATAGGCCTTTTGGATTACCTTTGATGGAATTCTCTCTTTTCCACAAGGAATCTCAAATAAGACCTTTTAAAGCCAAGCCAAACCATGGGTTTGTATCTTCAAATACCTGTGAGTAGGGTGATCCTCACCTCTTAAGGTTCCAAGATAAACTTGGAGCTCCTACACCTGTTTGAAACTGACATTCTTTACTGACAATAAGTCAGGAACCCTGTACAAGGGCTGCACAAACAAGGATATGAGGCCAGTTTCCCCACTGGGCTTCTACTGGCTCTGTAAGTTGAGCTTGACTCTTCAAAGGGAAGCATACCCTTCCAATCTAAGACTTGATAAAATGACCACTTTCTCAAGTTGTGTTCTGTTACAAAAGAAAAATGAATTCTTCTTGCACTGATGCAATTATATTGCCATAAGTTAGGAATACTCACAGAGAGTTTCTAAATTTTAGAGTAACCAGGCAGAGAGTAACAAACATGCTCCAAATTTTGTTCATAGGAGTTTATCTTACTCAATTATTGAAGACTGTAAATAGTTCAAAATAAGTTTCCTTCACTATGAAAAACAAAACAAGGATCAGCAATATTCCAACCAAAAATCAAAAAGGTTTCTTCAGCTTTCTGAGTTCAGTTCATTTAGTTAACTCTTGTTTTGCTTGATATTCATGAACATTTCAGTTCTTCCTTAGTCCTTACATTTTCCTTTATTCCATTGTTACAATTTACAAAGTTACCAGCAGCCTGTACTTGGGAGCACCTTTTATAGTTCTGTAGCTCATTAGAAACCATCTTTAAAAAAAATTAAAACAAGACAACAATTGTCTGTGAATAGCAAAATGTCCAGGGTAGTTACAGTTAGATACGCGATTGAAAAAAAATTTGGTTATCTCCGTGGTTTACAATAACGTAACATAAAAACCTTAATTATGATTGATAGTGTGTCCAGAATTGGTTCTTTCTGATGGGTTCTTGGTCTCACTGACTTCAAGAATGAAGCCGCAGACCCTCACTGTGAGTGTTACAGTTCCTAAAGATGGTGTGTGTGCAGTTTGTTCCTTCAGATGTTCAGATATGTCCAGAGTTTCTTCCTTCCAGTGGGTTCATGGTCTTGCTGACTTCAGAAGTGAAGCCACAGACCTTTGTAGTGAGTGTTACAGCTCTTAAAAGTGGCTGGTCCGGAGTTGTTTGTTCCTCCTTGTGGGTTCGTGATCTTGCTGACTTTAGGAGTGAAGCCACAAGCCTTCACGGTGTTACAGCTCATAAAGGTAGTGCGGACCCAAAGGGTGAGCAGCAGCAAGATTTGTTATGAAGAGCAAAAGAACAAAGTTTCCACAGCATGGAAGGGGACTGGAGCGGGTTGCTGCTGCTGGCTCCGGTGGCCAGTTTTTATTCCCTTATTTGGCCCCACCCACATCCTGCTGATTGTTCCATTTTACAGAGTGCTGATTGGTCCATTTTACAGAGTTCTGATTGGTGCGTTTTTACAGAGTGCTCATTGGTGTGTTTACAATCCTTTAGCTAGACACAGAGCACTGATTGGTGCATTTATAATCCTTTAGCTAGACACAAAAGTTCTCCAAGTCCCCACCCCACCCAGAAGCCCAGCTGGCTTCACCTTTCAAAAGCATATACTCAGACATTAGAATTTTAGAAATCCCATACAATTTTGAAACATATATTAGCATTATTCACCAAGATATAACCTAAAGAAGACTGAACATCATTTTGGCCATCTCGGGTACCTAAACATGTGAAATAATCCTGTTTACCTCTCTTTTCTGGACACTTTGGGGGCCCTTTGAAGTAGCCACAGTAGCCCTCTGAAAAGCCAGGTGCCACAGAAGACAATTGTGCAACACAAGTTTGATTTGGGGAAGGCTGTTAAATGTTCGAGGTTTAAAACACTTGATATTAAGAAATAGAATTCCAGATTACCATAAGTTATTTATTTTGATAAAATGATGACTCAAGTTTTAAAGAAGGAGAAACCTTTCATAACCTTTTATAAATTTTGCCAAAAAGCAGATTAGTACCGTAGGAAAACCTTGTTATGCTTTTATTTCAATGCTCAATTTACAGACAAACCATATAATACCCTTTTTTTGAATTTAGTCAATATGTTCACACAGAGAACCTCTTCTGCAAGATTAATTCCCACAATTCTTCCACCACTTCTTTGAACCTTCAGCTTTTTCCTAATTTAACTCAAAACAGTCCTTTAACTCTAGGCAAAGGTTTACATTTCCATGCCTTCTTATAACCTTTTACTAAAAAACACATTTTACTGTTCTTATACACCTTGCATGTAAATCTATTTCTAGTAGTTTCAATTAACTCCTGGAAATTTTTAACTTTAAGGTAAAACTTGGTAAGTTGCTTTTATTGTGTGCTAACTGCAGTCAAGCTTTGCCTTCTTAGTTAAGGGCGTTGTTAGTTCCATATGTCCCCAGGCCTTACCAATTGTGAAGCCAGCAAGTCAAATAGTTCCCAAAAGCCAAAAAGCAGTTTTTAACCTCAAAACACTTGGCAAATCTTGCATCTGACGTGCATTTTGCCAATGGTCTTAAGGGCTGTTTTTGTTTCTCAAAGATTAAAATCACATGAACTGAAAGGTTCCACAGCTTTTAACTTCCCTGTAAAAAATATTAGATCCAAGCGCTTGTCTTTCTTTAGGCCAAATTAATTAGATATCTCTTTTTACAGATATCACGCACAGTACACACACAGGCAGAAGAAAACCTAGTTGCTGGGTGGGGCCCTCTAAGAGACAGGGCTAGGAAAACATGCGGGTATCAAACCAGAAACTTACTTCCTAAGGCAGGATTGCTAAACAAAGCCTTGACACTGGAGTTACAAGCCACGCCCTCAGGATGTAAAACAAGATGAAAGATTGATTTCACAACGAAAACTTTGCAGAGAATACTCACAGTGATAGTTGGTGGGGGGTGGGGGGGAGTGGGGTATGGCCTGGTAAAATGTGTCCTAAAAGAAAAAAAAAATAAAATAAAGTTAACTGCGGACAGGATGGAGAAGAGGAAAAAAGAAAGAGTTTTAGACTGCCTGGGGAAGAATCTCTTACTCTTATGCAACTGGTTCCTCCACCAGGGAGAAAAGTTTAATTACTGTCTGATGGAGAAGGAAAACCCCTTGGCTGGGGAAGGAGAAGGCTGAGGCAGCTTGAGGCTGGGAACCAGCACAGCCAGCTGTGTGAGACCCTTGGGCCATGCGACCCAGCCCCAGCCTGGAGGGGGAAGCGGCTGGCCGACCCCCGGTTGCAACAGGGTGTGGGGGTGCAGTTCCCCGTAAGCTCAGAAGTCCAAGGATGAAAAGGCTGAGAAACCAGTGAGAGATTTTGAGTCCCCATTTTACACACCGCTTCTCGAGCCTCCATATTGTGCACCAAAAATATTGCAAGACTTTTCCTTAGTTCAGGTAAAGATGGGGTCCTTGTCTGTCCCATGTTTGAAGGATGAGTGAAGCAGGGTTTTGTTGGGTGAAAAGGAAGAAAAGGGGGAAATAGGGACTGTCACAAGGCCAGAGGGCCTGCTACAGTGCTTCTAGCCAGGCCATTTGAATCTGTTTCCACACTGGAAGAGGAGGGGCCAGGCTCCTCCCTGCTGCAAATGTGGTGAAATTCGGAGACTCCACCTCAGTGGGCAGGCTGGTTGGAGTTTCTCCAGCGACCCCTTCCCACCTGTCTCAAAATCATCTTTCACCTCCTTGTTTGAGTTCATACACAAATATTTTGACACTATTAGAAATGGGATTATTTTAATAATTTATTTTACAAATAACTTAGTGTATAAAATGCAAGTAACTCTTGTATGTAGATGTTAGGTCCTGCAACCTTATTGAATTTTTTTTGTAGCATAACAGGTTTTTAGTGGAATCTTCAGGTTTCCTACATACATATAAGATCACATCATCTGCAAATGGGAGTATTTTACTTCTTTCCTCTCAAATTGGATGGCTTTTTATTCTATTTATTGCCTAATTGCTCTGGTTAAAACTTACAGTGCTTTGCTAAATGGAAGTGGCAAGAGTACGGATCCTTGTCATGTGTCTGATCTTAGAGGAAAAGCATTCAGTTTTTTAACATTAACTATGATGTTAGCTGAGAACCTGTCATATACGGCCTTTGCTATGTTGATATAAACTTCTTTTATATGTAGTTTGTTGAGTTTTATGACTCAAGTGTGTTGAATTTTGTCAAACACTTTTTTGCATTTATCAAGATGTACATGTGGTTTTTATCCTTCATTCTGTTAATGTGATATATCACATTAATGTCTTTCTGTATGTTTAACCATCCTTGCACCCCAGGGATAAATTCCACTTGGTCACAGTGTACATTTTTAAATATGTTATTAAATTTGATTTGCTTGTATTTTCTTCAGGGTTTTTGCAAATACGTTCATCAGAAATATTGGTCTGAAGTTTACTTTTCTTGTAGTGTCTTTGTCTGACTTTGATATTAGAATAATGCTGGACTCATAAAATGAGTTTGAAAGTGTTCCCTCCTTTTAAATTTTTTGGAAGAATTTGAGTGTGATTGGTTTTATGTATTCTTTAAATGTTTGATAAAATTCATCCATGAAGACATCTGGTCTTGAGGTTGTTTTGTCGTTGTTGGGAGGTGTTTGATTACTAATTAAATTTCCTTACTTGTCGTTGGTCATTTTAGGTTTTTGATTTCTTAAAAATTCAGTCTTAGTAGGTTGTATGTTTCTAGGAATTTCTCCATTTCTTCCAAGTTATCTAATTTCTTATTGTATAATTGCTCATACCAATGTTTGTGATTCTTTTTTATTTCTGTGGAAAGAATTGTAATGTCTTCTTTTAATTTCTAATTTTATTAATTTTAGTCTTCTCTCTTTTCTTCTTAGTCTAGTTAAATGTTTGTCAATTTTGTTGATTAAAAAACTCAGTTTCATTGATTTGTTCTAATTTTTATTTTATTATTATTATTTTTTGTTTCAGATAGTACCATTTTCTTTCTTCTGCTAACTTCTGGCTTAGTTTGTTATTGTTGTTTTTGAGGTATCAAGTTAGATTGTTAATTTGTGATCTTCCTTTCTTCATTTTTTACAAGACTCCTGGATCAGAGACAATCTTCTTTATTAATGTAGGCATTTACCATAACAAACTTCCCATTTAGTACTGCTTTTGCTGTATCCCATGAGTTTTAGTATTATGTATCTTCATTTTAATTTATCTTAAGATATTTTCTGATTTCTCTTTTTATTTCTTCTTTGACCCATTGATTGTTCAGAATTGTGTTTTTAATTTCCTCATATTTTTGAGTATTCTAATTTTCCTTCTCTTATGGGTTTCTGGTTTCATTCCATTGTGGAGAAAAAGATACTTAGTATGATTTCATTCTTTTAAAATTTGTTAAGACATTTTGAGAATGTGTATTTTTCTGCTGTTGGATGGAATGTTTTGTATATGACTGGTAGGTCCATTTGGTCTTTAATGATTTGAAGTCTGTTATTTCTTTATTTTCTATTTGGATCATGTATTTGGTATTACGAGTGGGGTATTGAAGTTTTCAGTTATTATTGTATTGCAGTTTATCTCTTTATTCTGTCTTTTTGATATTTTTAGTTCCTCTGAATAGATGTACATACATGTTTATAATTGTTGGGCCTTCCTGAGGAATTCATCATTATATGTCCTTTTGTGTCTCTTGTTACAGTGTTTGAATTATAGTCTATTTTGTCTAATATAAGTATTGCCACCCTCGTTTCTTTTATTTACATTTGCATAGAATATCTTTTTCTATTCCTCGCCTTTCAGCCTAAGTCCCTAAATCTCAAGTATGGATTTTTTAGACAGCACATAGGTTTGTTTATTTGTTTGTTTTTTTAAATATCCATTCAACTACTTTAAGTCTTTTGATTTTGGATTTTACTTATTTTTATTTTAAATAATTTTACCTTTTTGTTGCTAAAAGAATATATTTTATAATTTTAATATTTTTGCAACTTTTGTTTTAGAATTAGGGGTATATGTGAAGTGTTGTTACAATGGCATATTGTGTGATGCTGTGGTTTGGAGTACAAATTAATCCATCACTGAGGTAGTGAGCATGGTACCCAATAGGTAGTTTTTCTCAACATTTACCCCACTTCCTCCCTCTAACTTTTTGAAATCTCCAGCGTCTACTGTTCCCATTTTTATGATTGTGTGTGTCCAATGTTTAGCTTCTACTTATAAGTGAGAACTTGTGGCATTTGGTTTTCTGTTTCTCCATTAGTTCACTTAAGATCGTGGTTTCCAGCTGTATCTATGTTTCTGCAAAGGACATAACTTATTTCTTCTTTATGGCTGCATAGTATTCCATGGTGCATATATACCATATTTTCCTTTTCTAATTCACCATTTATGGACACCTAGGATGATTCCATTACTTTGTTATTGTGAATACCACTGTGATGAAAGTATGGATACATGTGTCTTTTTGGTAGGATGGTGGATTTTATTTTGGGTATACACTCAGGAGTGGGATTGCTGGGTTGAATGGTAGTTCAACTCTCAGTTTATTGAGAAATCTCCAAACTGCTTTCCAGAGTGACTGAACTAATTTAAATTCTCACCAACAGTGTATAAGTGTTCTCTTTTCTCTGCAGCCAAGCCAACATTTTTATTTATTTACTTTTATTTTTCAGCAAAAGCTATTCTGACTGTTGTGAAATGGTATCTCACTGTGGTTTCAGCTTGCATTTTTCTGATGATTAGCAATGATGAGCATAGTTTTCTATGTTTATTGGCCACTTGTATGTGCTCTTTTGAGAATCATTTGTTGATGTGCTCTGCCCATTTTTTAATGGGCTTATTTGGTTTCTGCTTGTTGGGTTGTTTAAGTTACTAATAGATTCTGGATGTAATATAGAACAAAATTATTTTTTGTAAGTGATTGTTTTATTTTATTCATTACAGTTTCTGAAAAATACAGCTATTCAGTTATACCAGTTCTCAAACTATGTATTTGAACTCCCTGCCAATCATTTATTGCAAAATTTAATGTTGACATTCATTAATCTGATGCCAAGGAGATAATTTCTTTCTGTCTGACATAAAACAATGATAAAAGAGACAATAGTTACTTTGATTGCACAATAGTAGAGGAAACATATTTTTTCATGAACAATAAGGATGATTATTTCATTCTTAGCAATATACATGGCTATCATTTCTTTTTATGAAGTAAGTAGCCTGTTTATTAATTGAAGTATTCCAACATTTTTATGTTGGAGTCCCAGCTCCCAGTACCTCCAAATGTGGCCTTATTTGTAAACACAATGATTAACCATGTAATTAGTTATGATGATGTTATAATGGAGTAGGGTGATAGTCTAATCCAACATGATTGGTGTCCTTTATAAAAATATTTGGGCCTAGATAACACACAAGGAAAATTTCATGTGATGATAAAGGCAGAGATATGAGTGATGCTTCTGCAAGTGAAGAGCCACCAAAGATCAACAGTAAACCATCATAAGTTAGGCAAGAGTCATGAAACAAATTCTTTCTCACAGTAGTCAGCAGAAAGCAGTTCTGCCAATACTTTGATCTTGCACTTCTAACCTCTAGAACTGTGAAAGAATGCATTATAGTCTTTTAAGCTACCCAGTTTTTGGTGCTTTCTTATAGTGAAGTAAGGCAGATGAGCCAAAAAATTGGGGATTAGAATGGAAACTTTCTTGGCTTCACTTTAAAGAAGAATTCAAGAGTGAGCCAGTGGTAATTAAAAGAGCTTTATTGAGGTGGCAGTGTTACAGCTCCATGACTACTCCTGCAGAGCAAATCTACCCCACAGAGCAGCTCAGGGGCAGCTCTGCAGTCATATTTATAACCAACTTTTAATTACATGCAAATGAAGGGGTGGGTTATTCAGAATTTTCTATAAAAAGGTTGGTAATTTCAAGGTCATTCCCATGGAATGGAGATGTAACTTCCGGGTGTTGCCATGGCAATGGCAAATTGACATGGCACTGGTGGGCAAGTCTTATGAAGACGTGCTTTGGGTGCCTCTTCCCTGTTTCAGCCAGTCTTCAGTCTGATCCAGAGTAAAATCCTGCCTCCTACCTCATTCCTCACTCAGAGATTAGATACTTATTTTTAAACTCAAGGGGTTCACAAAAGGATGGAGATCTGTATTCTATAACTGCTTCCTGCTGAGTTCGTGGGTGTAGGCTCTGCCTGGCACTGAAGGAGTAAAAATTTTTGAATAAGAAAAATCCAGATCCAGAGATAAGAACTACGTCACATACAAGGGAGTCCTGACATACTATCAATGGATTTCTTAACAGAAACCCTGAAGGAAAGAATGGTATGAAATATTCAAAGTTTTGAAAGAAATAATATAAAAACTGGCAATAAAGAATACTTTAGTTACTTTAATTGGAAAAACTGTTCTTCTAACATGCAGCAGGTTTGTTTTTGTTTGTTTGTTTGTTTTTAAGACGGCTGATTAGGGATGTCAGATTCCAGGTCTCCTCAGAAAGATCAAAGTTACAAATGAGTGGCCGTGATTTGAATGGAAAGCTGAAGAAAGAAGGCCTGGATCTCTTTGAGAGCCCAGGGGAAACAGCTGGTGTGCCTAAAAGGCAAACAGCAAATATATTAAGTATATTGCAAAAATTAATCCCCCAAAGAACTCGGAGCTCCATGAAAAGGACAGGTTCGAGTGCTTCTGTACTTTCCTCATGCCTGCAACAATCTGCTGACCACTAAATGGTTGGGGAGGCCTTCTGTCTTAGTTACCCTGGGCAATGCTTTTGGTGGCTGTTTGGGAAATTGCCAGGGACAGAGCACTGTGCGGTCAGTTCACACAGATGCACCCACATTCTTCTCAGGGCTGAACCGAGATGGTCGGAGACATACTGTTTGTGTACCCAATGTGAGCCACTGCTTTGTCTAGGGAAACTCAGCTCTTATATCATTGCATCACCAGATATCCTGCAAACATACCCCAAAACTTGCTCCGACTTTGGCAATGAGAGGAGACTGCCGAGTTTCTGCGAAGCTGCATAATCCCTGAAGATCTAGCCTTCAGCAGGGGCCACCCCTATGGAGCAGGGAGAACATAGACCATCAAAGCCACCTTGGGACAAAGGAAATGTAAACAAAACACCAATCACTGAGGGTGGTAGCACCAGTGACTGGGAACAGACGTGGAGAAGGGGTAATCTTGTGCTGCCCCATCGACTGTCACAGACACAGTAGAGGCTCTCACACTGGGGTTTGGTGTGAGTCTACTTGGAGACAACCTTCCCATTGCTTTATACAGTGGTTTCACTCCCATTGCAAGTAAGACCATACTGAATGGGCATGCACAAAATATGAGGCCCATCTTCCCCTTTTACACAGAGCAATAAAATCCTGGCAACAGCAGGCAGACAAGTCACAGAACTTTCTGTGCTGGACTGAGGGATGTATCTCTGCCTCGAGCTTGTTTTGATGGTAGCTGCCAGAGGGGAAATAATACAGACTCTAGTCACACTTCAGTTAGGAGCCAAAGAACAGTATCCATATGAATTGAAGGTCAAGAGCCCTGTTATGGGGCATCATAAGGAAGAAGATTGTATTTCTGCCTGCCCAGGATGAGAAGCTGGTGCAGCCTTTACCCCCTTATTCCTATCCTGGACACTTCAGTGCATTCCAACATGATCTCCCCCTCAGTGCTCCCCAAGAAAGTAGATGCCTATATTTATTATCAAGCTACCAGAGAGTGAGCTGGCTCTTACTCTAAAGCACCATTTACTCTACTGGAGAGTAAACTTCACTACCAAATACAAAACTTACTACTAAAAGGGCATAGTGCCAGTGTATGATATAAGCTTCCTGAGATTTCTGCATTCTTGGACCCACAGGAGATAGTCAGATCATATGTTCAATACATTGGTACAACAAGATGCATTTGGGAAAATTATTGCAAAAGAGCTATCCACAACTAAGGAACCCATACAAAACCTGTGCACCTTGAAAACATCCAGAAATAAAACCAAATGATTTTACACAAGATACACCACAGTAACAACCTCAAGGGAAAAAAAGAATAAATAATAAAGAAGTCCCATCCAAATGATAGCAAACACAAAACTGAGAAGTGACACTGCTTCAGAGGAGGAAAAAAATCATTGCAAGAACTCTGGCAGTAGAAAAAGACAGATTGTTTCAACATCTCCAGCAGAATGTACTCGCTATCTCAGTATAGATCCTAAACAAAATGAAAATTCTGAAATGAGAAATAAGGAATTCAAAATATGGATTATAATGAAGCTCAAAGAGATGAAATAGAACATTAAAAACAAACAAAAAAAAACAGAGAAATGATTCAGGATAGGGAAGATGAGATATCTATGTTAAAAATATAGAACTTTTGGAATTAAAAAATAAAAGAAAATTCAAATAGAATTGAAACCTTCAAAAGTTGACTAGATCAAACAGAAGAATTCCAGAATTTGAAAACTGGTCTTTCAAATTAATCCAATCAGAAAATATTTTTTAAATAATTTTTAAAAATCAACAAAGCCTTTGAGAAATATGAGATGAGGAAATGTGACCAAACCTATGATTTATATGCATTCTTGAGAGAGAAGAACAAAAAGTAAGCAATTTGGAAAACATATTTGTGGCAATAATTCAGGAACATTACCCTAATATTGCTAGAGAGATAAACATCCAGATACAAAAAATTCAGAGGATAACTGCAAGATACTACACAAGATGAACATCACCAAGACATATAGCCATCCAGACTATCCCAGGTCAAACGTACTGAAAAAAATCATAAAGCAGATAGAGAAAGGGGGACAAATCCCATGCAAAGATAATCCCATCAGACTGTCAACAGACTGCTCCACAGAAAACAGAAGAGAATGTTGCTCTATTTTGAGCCTTCTAAAAGAAACAGAAATGCCATCCAAAATTTTCATATCCTGCCAAACAAAGCTTCATAAATAAAGCAGAAAAAATGTATTTCCTATACAAGGAAACACTAAGATAATTTGTCATCATGCCACCACTAGATTGTACATACAAAGAAATGCTCAAATGAGTTCTCAGCATGGAAATAAAAAAGATCATACTTCTATCAAAATGCACATGTAAATATAAACTTCACAGATCCTATAAAGTAATTATACAATTGAGACTACAGCAACTAGCTAACAACAGTATAACAGGAACAAAACCTCACATATCAATATTATCCTTTAATGTAAATAGCTTAAATGTTCCACTAAAAGGTATAGAATGGCAAATTGGATTTAAAAAATAAAACACAAGACCCAACCATATGTTGCCTTTAAGAGACCTACTTAAAGTGTCATGACATCCATAGGCTCACAGTAAATGAGTGAAGAAATATATTTCACATACATGGAAAACAAAACAGAGCAAGGTTGCTATTCTTGTATCACACCACATAAGCCAGACTTTAAACAAACAACAGTAAAGACAGACAAAAAAGGCACTGTGTAATGATATAGGGTTCAATTCAACAAGAAGGTTTATCTATTCTAAATATATATGCACCCAACACCAAAAAAGCCAGATTTATAAAACAAATGCTAATATGACTAAGAAAAGAGATAGACATTCATAAAATAATAGACGGGAGTTCAATACTTCATTGACAGCAGTAGAAAAATATTTGATGCAGAAAAGTAACAAACTCTGGTCTTAAACTGTACTCTTGACCAATTGAAACTAATAGATAAATCAGAATATTTCATCCAACAATGGCACAATATACATTTTTCTAATCTGTGCATGAAATATAGTCAATTTATGGATTTCATGCACAGATGAAAATTCACAGATTAATTCCCCAAAACTAATCATATACTTGTCCATAAAGCAAGTTTCAATATACTTTTAAAAATCTATCACTATATCGGATCAAGTATATTCTCAGACCACAGTGGAATAAATCTAGGAATCTATACCAAGAGGAGTCCTCAAAGCCATACAAGAACAAGGAAAATAAACAACTTGTTTTTGAATGACTTTGTGTAAACAATAAAATTCAGGCAAAAATTAAAATTTTTTGAAACAAATGAAAATATAGACACTGCACACCAAAACTTCTCAGATGCAGCAAAAGTAGTATTAAAAGGAAAGTTTCTAAAACTAAATTTTTATTTCAAAAAGATAAAAGATTTCAAGTGACAACCTAATATCACACTTCAAAGCACTGGAACAACAGAAACAATTCAAAACCCAAGGACAGTCGAAGAAAAAAATAACAAAAATCATAGTAGAACTAAATGAAATTAAGGCCAAATAAATAATACAAAGGATCAACAAAATGACAAGTTTGTTTTTTTGAAAGTATAAACAAAATTGATAGACAGCTAGCTAGATTAAGAAAAGCAATTCAAATAGGCACAATTAGAAATGATAAAGGTTATATTACAACTGATACCACAGCAATACAAAAGACGATCAAAGATTACTGTGAACATCTCTACATGCACAAACTAGAGAGCATAAAGAAAATGGAAAAATTCCTGGAAACATGCAAACTTCCAAGATTGAACCAGGAAGAAATAGATTAGACATAGATTTCTATTTCTTCCTGGTTCAATCTTGGAAGTTTGCATGTTTCCAGGAATTTTCTATGCCAATAATGAGTTATGAAATTGAATCAGTGATAAAACATCTACCAACCAAAGCCCAGGATCATATGGATTTAGAGCTAAATTCTACCAGGAGTACAACAAAATCTGGTACAAATGTTACTAAAACTACTACAAAAAATAAAGGAGTAGACATGCCTCCCTAACTCATTCTATGAAACCAGTATTATTCTGACACCAAAATCTAGCAAGAATGCAACACAAAAGTAAACTTTAGGTCAATATTCTTGATAAACATAGACACAAAATTCACAACCAAATACTGGTAAACAGTATCTACCAGCAAGCCAAAAACATAATTTATCATCATCAAGTGGGGTTTATCCCAGAAATGCAAGGATGGTTCAACATATGAAAATGTGTTATTTACAACATATTCAGAAATAACAACAAAAAGCACATGATCATCTCAATAGTTGCAGATAAAATTCAGCATCCCTTTATGATAAAAACCCTCAACAACATAGGCATCAAACGAATATATTTCAAATTAGTAACAGCCATGTATGACAACCCACAGCCAACATCATACTTAATGAGGAAAAATTGAAAGCATTCCTCCTAAGAACTAGTATAAGACAGGGATGTCCACTCTCATCACTTTTCTTCAACATAGTACTGAAAGCCCTATCCAGAGAAACTAGGGAGGAAAACAAAAAACATCCAAGTTGGAAAAGAGAAAATCAAATTATCTCTGTTTGCTGATCAGATGATCTTATATCTGGAAAATCTGAAGATTGCTCCAGAAGACTTTCACATCTGATAAACAACTTCAACAAAGTTTTAGGATACAAAATTAATGCACAAATACTAGTTGCATTTCTATACACCAACAATGCTCAATTTAAGAGCCAAATCAATAAATCAATCTTAGTTAAAATAGCCACAAAAATATCTATGAATACCTTTAACCAGGAAGGTGAAAGACCTATATAAGGAAAACTACAATACACTGATGAAATAAATTGTAGACAACACAAATGAACGAACATGCTATGCCCATGGATAGAATCAATATGATTAAAATGAATATACACCCCAAAGCATTCTACAGATTCAATACAATTCTTATGAAAATACCAACATCGTTTTTCACAGAGTTAGACAAAACAATTCTAAAATTCATATGGAAACAAAGAAGAGCCCAAGATAGCCAAAGCAATCGTAAGCAATAAGAACAAAGTTGGAAACATCACATTGCCTGACTGCAAACTATGCTACAAGGAGATAGTGACCCAAACAGCACTGCACAGGGACAAAAATAGACACATAAATCAATAGAATAGAAAAAGAAACCAGAAATAAAGCCACATACCTACAACTAACTGATTCTTGACAAAGTAAACACAAGTAAACATTGGGGAAAGGACATCCTATTCAATAAATGCTTCAGGAAGAACAGGCTAGCTAAATGTTGAATAATGCAACTGGACCATTATCTCCCACTGCATAGAAAAATTAACTCAAGATGGAGTAAAAGTTTACATTTTAGACTGGATTCTCAAAAAGTTCTGGAAGAAAACCTAGGAAAATGTCTTCTGGACATTGGCCTAGATAAAGAATTTATGGCTAAGGCATCAAAGGCCAGTGCAACAAAAACAAAAATATACAAGTTAAAATTAAATAAAAGGGCTTCTGCACAACAAAAGACACTAACAACAGACTAAATTGGTAACCTACAGCGTGGAAGAAAATATTTGCAAACTATGAGTCTGATAAATGACTAATATTCATAATCTATAAGGAATTTAAACAAATCAACACTAAGAAACCAATAACCTCATCAAATAGTGAGCAAGGAGATGAACAGACACTTCTCAAAGAAGACATATAATGAGTCAACAAATATATGAAAAAAGACTCAATATTACAAATCATCATATACATGCAAATTAACACCACAATGAAATCCATCTCATAAGAGTTGGAATGGCTATTATTAAATACTCAAAAAATAAAAGATGTTGGTGAGGATGTAGAGAAAAAGGGACACTTATTTACCATTACTTGTACTGTAAATTAGTTCAACCCCTAAGGTAATCAGTATCCAGATTTCTCAAAGAACTAAAAACAGAACTGCTATTTGACCCAGCAACCCCACTGCTGCTTCTCTCTCCAAAGGAAGAGAAATCATTCCACCAAAAAGACACCTGCACTCATATGTTTATGGCAGTCCTATTCACAGTAACAAAGTCATGGAATCAACCTAAGTGTCAGTCCATGGTTGATTGTGCAAAGAAAATGTGGTATATATATACAGCATGAAATCCCATGCAGCCATAAAAAATAATAATGCCTTTGTAGCAACATGGATGGAGCGGGAGGCCATTAACCTAAATGAAATAACTCAAAAACAGAAAAACAAATACTTCATAATCTCACCTTTAGGAGTTAAGCAGTGGGTACACATGGAACAAATATGGAAATAGTAGACACAGAAATCCAGCATATATATATACACACACACATATATAGTTAATAATAATGTATATTTCTATTATTACAATACAATAATATGTACTTTTAATACATAATATGTATTTTAATAATGTATTTTAAAATTATATTAACTATATATAGTTAATATTAATGTATATTTAAAAATTGTTAAGAGAATGCAATTCAAATTTCTCATTAAAAGTGATAGCAAGTGATGTAATAGTTAATTTAGCTTTATTTAATCTTCCACATTGTGTGTTTGTGTGTGTGTGTGTGTGTGTGTACACACACATACACATACACACACACACAGGTGTGGGACCTGTGGGACATGGACTGGCTTCCTCTCCTTGGGTTAACTGCAGCACATTGGAGGTGTGGATAAAGGACTTAGGGTCTTTGCTCCTTTGTTAGTCTGAGGGTAGAAAGATCAGTTCCACTCCAGAGGCCGTGGCAGAGAAGTTTTCAGTTGTCCCTGGAGGCTCTGTCCAGGAATTTTCTCAGTTGCTACTGGCTCAGTAGCTCTGGTGGGGGTGGCTGGAGGCCCAGGCATGGAGGACCTCACCAGTGAGGAGACGTGGGACCAAGCCCCCACTTAAGTCTGGTCACTTTTCCATTGGACTGCTGCAGTATGCTGGGGGGCTCACTCCAGTCCCTAGTCACCTTAGATTTTCCAATACCTGGAGGTATCACCAGTGAAGGCTGTGTAACAGCAAAGATGGCAGCCTTCTCCTCCAGACCTGTTTTTGGCCTGAACACACCTGTGGAAGGTAGCTAGAGACCACGGTTGGGAGTTCCCACCCAGTGAGGAGGAACAGGATTGGCAGACCTGCTTGAAAAAGCAGCCTGGTCATGTTTTGGTGGAGCAGCTGTGCTATGCTGGGTGTCCACTTCAGCCCCCAGTCACCTCAGACACTCCAAAGCCCAAAGGTCGGAATAGCTAAGTCACTCAAACAGCAAAGATGGCAGCTCACCCCTCCTCTGGGAGCCCCATCCCTGGAGACTTTGAAACCTCTGTCAGCCAGAGAACACTGGGGGATAGCTGGAGATCCGGGTTGGGAGGCCCCACTGACGATGAGAAACAGGATTGGGGGAACTGCTTAAAAAAGCAATCTGGCCATGTTTTCATAAGGCAGTTGTGCTGTGCAGGGGGTCCACTTCAGCCCCTAGTCACCTTGTACTCTCCAAAGGCCAGAATAGCTGTGTCACTCAAACGGCACAGATGGCAGCCCATCCCTCCCTCTGGGAGCTCCATTCTAGGGAGGCTTCAAATCTCTGTCAACTGGAGAACACCAGTGGGGGTGGCTAAAGACCCCAGTTGGAAGTCCTGCACACTGAAAAGGAATGGGAGAGGGGATCTTCTTAAAAAGGCAGTCTGGCGGTATTTTCATAGAGCAGTTGTGATGTGCTGTAGGATCCCTCCTGTTTCTGGTCAGCTTAGACTCTCCAAAGACCACAGGGTGGAACGGCTGTCTCCCAAACAGCAAAGATGGTGGCCTACCCCTACCCCCAGGAGCTCCATCCCAGTCGCAATATTACTATCAGTGGCTGGCTGAAATTCCAAGCCAGAGTTTTATTCTGTGAGGTGCCTTGGTAGTGGGACCTGCGGACAGTCACTGCTCAGCTCCCTGGATTCAGCCTCTTTCCTAGGGATATGTACAGGTGGTCTAACCTTTCACTTTGCTGGAATTGCAAGTAATTTTTCTGGGAAGCCCAGAAAGCCTGAGTATCTAAGGCTCCTGGGTCTCCACATGTGCCTGAGCAGATGCTCAGCAAAGACTCCGCATAGCTCTGTGTGTCAGACTGAAGGCCCTGGTGGAGTGGGTTCATGAGGGGAATCTCCTGACCCAAGGGTTGCAAAGATCTGTGGAAGAAGCGTGGGTTCCTGCAGTCACACTTTCACTCACCACTTCCTTGGGTGGCGGAGGTTACTTGGCTCCATGTCACTCCTGGGTAGGCCATCATTCTGCTTTGATTTTCTCCATTTTTCGTGGGTCAAGTTGTTTTCTTGATTAGTCCTTATGCACGCTCCTGGATGTTTCAGTTGAAAATGCTGTATTTACTCACCCCTTCCTTTTCTCTCCATGAGAGCCATGCACACTAGCTGCTTCTAGTTGGCCATCTTGGCCATCTCCCCAACAGAGAACATTTCGGACAGGGGTGACAAATATGGATTTGATGATGGAATCTTTTAACCTTGATGCGAAGCTACAAGAAGGCTTCAACACCTTCGGTTTACAACAGTATTAGACTGTCTCACTTCCATCATTAATTACAAATTATTAATGAGCACCCTACACAGTGCAGGATTGGTCAGTCTGTTCAAAGCTTTGATTGGACACTCCTCAGTTATAGTCAAGCAGATCCTCAGTATCACAATGCATGCTTTTTTTTTTTTATTGTGGAAGTGCATTAAGAACTTGTGTTTGTACAATCTATAATTTACAAGCTATAGGAAACTGGGAGCAGAATGAAAAATGTCTGATTTCAACCATCAATGGCAATATGCTATAAAAATCTCTAGGAAGTGTTAAAACACAGGATTGACATCTGCTCTGTGACATGAACACTCCATATGAACATTTATAAAGTTAAAATTAACTGTGAGAGTTACTCTGCCAAGTAGAATTTACAGGTTCACATATAACCTACATACTCAATGATACATATTTGGACATGTTAATTTAGTTTTAATTCACTCCATGTTTGTCTTGAAGATCAAGTGAATTTAGGACAGATAGTATGATTGCTAAGCAGCAGGAAAATTCACTTTATTTCTTTGGTCATAAATTAACTTGAAACCTTTCAGCTTGAGTTTCTTGTTATTTCTTTGTTTGTTTGTTTTCTTTTTCCAGACCTGTTATTTTTGTTATAGGTACAGACTAAGTAGAGAGTTAGATTAACTAGAGTTGAGGGTCTTCCAGGTAACTACAATAGAGAAATAAAAAGTGTGAGCAAGAGAGGAACAAACAGGCAAGTGGCATGTACATACAAGGCAGAGATTGCAATGAAAGAACATGAACTCTAAAGTGGGTAATAAGGGAAAGTAATACATGCAGAAAACATTGAAAAGTGAAAAGGTGGTAATGTAAATAAGTTTGATTCCAATAGAGTCAAATAATTGTTGGAAAGGGATGCTAGAGGCTATGACCTACAAAGATAGGATATTGTGACTGGTGAATAGATTTATTGAAATTGAGATTTTGTAAATGTAATTAATGAAAATAATAATGTCTATGATCATAGGTGGAGGTGTCACAGGTGGGACAAAGGAAAAGCTCACTGACACTAATGAAGTCAAGAAACTGAGAGAACAGTTTGAGGGATTTTTTTTTTTATTTTAACATTCCTGACAACTGACAAGAGTGGTGTTGGATATAAATTAAGTCAGACATAAAATTCTGAAGGAAGAAATGTAAATAATTAGCCAGTCTATAAATAAAAAGAGAGACAGTGATATGGTTAGCCCATGTGTCTTCACCCAAATCTCATCTTGAATTGTAATCCCCAGATGTTGAGGGAGGACCCTGGTGGGAGGTGATTGGATCATGGAGGTGGTTTCTCCCATGCTGTTCTCATGGTAGTGAGTACTCACAAGATCTGATGGCTTTATTAGTGTTTGGCAAGTTCCTCCTTCACTCACTCTTCTCTCTTCTGCCGACTTAAGAAGAAGGTGCTTGCTTCCCCTTCCACCATGATTGTAAGTTTCCTGATGCCTCCCCAGCCATGCAGAACTGTGAATCAATTAAACCCCTTTTCTTTATATATTACCCAGTTTTGGGTAGTATCTTTATAGCAGTGTGAGAACAGACTAATATCTTTACAGCAGTGTGAGAACAGACTAATACAAATGTTATACTAACACCATATATAATATATAGTATAGTATGGCATGCAATTCAAAGGATATTTTTTCTTTTTGTAAATTAGAAGGGAAGAATAATGGTCCAGAATTGGCAAAAAAAAAAAAAAAACTAAGACAATATATTCTCAGGCCCACTAGGTCATAGAATGTGAGGTAATAGAATCTCTTTCACTCATCTTAGCTCCTGGGGGAAACACTGTCCTCTGGAGACATCCAGAAAATTTAAGAAGGTAAAGGATACATCCAGGAAAACATTGAAGCATTTTTCCATTAGAGAGCACAGTGAGAGGATTTAAGGCATTCAGAATAGATTGAAAATGGGTACATATTATGGTATATACACTGCCATGAGAAGATAAAAATCGATCCACTTTATGATAGAGAATTTTGGAGTCTTGGCCCCCTTGTGATCATCAAAGTAAGCAAGGACAAGAGTCATAAAGATAATTTTCTCTATTGTCATTTACATGGAGGTGAATAATTATTCTAATTATTAGTATAATTTTAGGGTCTCTCCATGAGTAGGAACTCTCTGAGTTTGCCGATATATTTTCTAATAGGTTGATGTGATGTTCATCCTAGGGAAAGACTACATTACAAAAAGCAAGTGGATGTCTATGCTAGCTGCCTAAATCATGTTGAAAATGATGTCAATGCTCAGAGACGGGCAGTCCTACTAAGACTATAAGAAATTCTGCCAACTGTGAACTTTAAACTCTTTTGAGGTGAATAACTAACCAACAGCCAACAAAATTCTTATCTGAGAAACAGTGAAAATAAATGTTATATTTAGGAAAAAGACAAGGATGCTTTCTACTATCCCAATTTTAAATATTTGTCAGGAAATTTTACTTAATATATTTTATATATTTTATAATTTGCAACATTATATAAATTATATATCATATATATATCATGTATGATCATATATATATGATGTTGCTGAAATGGGAAAAGTTCCCTTGTCCCTCTTGCAGGGTGTGAAATGGGGATGTGGCTTGCTTCTTCAGTGCTCTATTGCTCAAACCTTTAGGGGAGCATACAGATGGGCAGGGAGACCCATGGCAGTGTCCAGGGGTGAATGTTTACAGCTGAAGCCCCAGTGACCATGTGTTACTGGGTGCTCTTTTAGTTTAGCCATGCATAGGTAGCTGTGTTAGCTCAATTAGACCCCTGCTTTATCGCAAGCACAGAGGGCTTTCTGTATCCCAGGGTTCTTGCCTTGGAGTACGGGAAGAATTGGATCACACATGGGCTTGGAGAATGAGTCCAAGGTTTTATTGAATGGAAGTAGCTCTCAGCAGTGGGGGAGCCAGAAGGGAGAAGATTTTCCCCTAGAGTCGGGCCACTTGGAGGCCTGGACTCTCCTCCAACTGCCCCAACCAAACTCTGTGTCATTCTGCTGGTCGGTGGCCTGCCAGCATGTTCAGTGTGTTCCTCTCGACATCCAACCGTCCGTGTGTTCCTCCGCTGATGTGCTCCTCTCGATGTCCAGCCACCTGTGTGTCTGCTTGCTAGCATCTTGGGGTTTTTACAGGCACAGGATGGGGCCGTGGCAGGCCAGGGTGGTCTTGGGAAATGCAACATTTGGGCAGGAAAACAAAAATGCCTGTCCTCATGTAGGTCTGTGGCCACAGGCCTGGGTGTGGAGTCCTAGCCAGGGACCACAACCTTACCCCCTTCCGTATAATTTAAAGGGATCATGCCCTTCCTTTCCCAGAATTTTCCTTCCATATCATTGCTAATGACATGTTTGGATACTTCAGAAATCTAAGATAGATCAGCTAAGACAAATAAGAGCTTAGAATTTGTCACTTTCATTCTTTTAACAAGGAAAAGCTGGAAAAACTGAAAAACAGTTGACACTTTTTGGACTCATCAGAGAAGTGAAGTTACTGGATTTCCTTGAAATATTTAGAAACAGTTATTTTCAGAAGGACAAAACACATGAGCAATTTCTTATCTGGAGCAGACACTGCCAGACACCCTAGAAGGCAGTAAGAACATTAAACTAGAAATTCTGATGAATTTATGGTGCCCAAATGTGGGCTAGCTTCTGGAGGCTGCAGTCACAGGAATACCCCTCATTTCTGTAGGCTTTCCTGCAGAAGCTCCACCAGGCTTTCATAGAGTGGATTTAGAAAAATCCTAAGAGTGCTCCCTTTGTGACTCTGCCAAGGGAAGGGAAGGAATTAGGAGGCAGGGTGAAAAAGAGTCTACCCCTAAAGAAAAAAAAGAAACACGAATTACAAAAGTCACAGCTCTGAAACACAGCTTACTATGCATTCCAAAACTTGAGAATAAAACATAAAACCTAGAGAATGCCTTATATCCTTCTTTCCTATATGATCACTATACTAGTAATGCCTCCAATAATGGTTACAGTGGATTACAACTAAAAGAGCTAAAAGAAAAAATAAATAAATAAAACTTTCTGAGAAGCAGAATAGAGAAGCCCAAAATTCAAGAGGAGAGAAAAAAAACATGATTACTAGAGAAATATGAATCTTCCAGTGTCCATAGCTACAACAAACATCAAACATAACACAACTCTTGGCCAGATAACATGTATACCAAACATCTATTAACATATATGATATGTTCAGCATTCAACAAAAAGTTCTAAGACATGCCCAAAAGGCAAGAAGCAAACAAATAAACAAACAACACACAGTCAGAAGACAAAGTATTAATGAGACACAGACTCACTTATGACATGAATGTTGGAATTGTCAGAGAGGAAATTTAAAAATGATTATGATTACCTTGTCAAAATCTCTAATGAAAAAGGTACAGGACAGGCAAAACCAGAAGGGTCACATAAGAGGAGAGATGCAAATTGTAAGAATAAAAAGAAAAGGTTATAAATTATTTTTAAAAAATATGGCAACAAAAATGAAGAATGCTCTCCATAGTTCATCAGTATACCCAACACAACTAAATAAAAAGTCAGTAAATTTGAAGACAGGTAAATAGAAAATTTTCAAACTGAAATTGAATAAAAAAGTGACAAAAATAGAACAGAACATTCAAGAACTGTGGGAAAATATCTGCAAAACTGTAATACTAGAAGAAAAAGGCAAAATGAAACAAAATAAAAATTTGAAGAAATAGTAGTTGAAAAATGTTAAATTAGTGACAGTCACCAATACATGGATCTAAGAAGCTTAGAGAACCCTAAGAAAAGATAACACACTGTATTAGTCAGGATTCTCCCAAAAAATATAAACAATAGAACCAATAGGCTCTATTTTTGTCTCTCCATAGAGAGAGAGATACAGAAGTTTATTTTAAGAAGTTGGCTCACATGATTATGGTAGCAGGCAAATCCAAAAGCTGCAGGATGGATTGGCAGGTTGGAGACCCAAAGAAGAGCAAATAATGTAGTTCAAGTCTGAAGGCCATCAAAATAAAGTTTCAGGAAGGAACCAACATTGCAGTTCAAATCCAAAGGATATCTACTGGCAGAATTACTCTTTGCTTGGGGGAAGTCAGTACTTTTGTTCTATTCAGTTCTTAACTGAGTGGATGAGACCCACCCAACTTACAGAGGGAAATCTCTTTTGCTCAAAGTTGACTAATTTATATGCTAATCTCATGGAAAACAATCTTCATAAAAATATCTGGAATAATGTGTGACCAAATATTTGGGCACAATGAGGTATCCAAATTGACACTTAAAATTAATTATCACACATAACAAAACATAGATAAGAATTGCTGAAGACGTCTTATCAGATATTATGTCAACAGGAAAATAATGGCATACAATATTTAAAATTTTAAAAGAAAAATTCTGCCAATCAAAAATTCTATACTCAGCAAAACATGTACTTTAAGATTGAAAAAAAATCCTTTCTCAAAAAAAAAATTATTACTAGTAGACTAGCCCTACAAAAATTGTTAAAGGAAGTTCTTCACAGAAAGAAACTTATATAGGTCAGAAAAATTGAGAATATACAAAAAAAAGAAGAGTGGAGCACAACAAATAAATAAAGGTAAAATATCTTTTATGTTTTTCTTAATTTCCCAAAAGATAATTGACACTTTAAAACAATAATAATAACAATGTATGAAGTATTTATAGCATATGTTTAAATAAAATGAATGATGACTGTGTCAGAAGAGATGAGAGAGGAATTAAGAATATCATAAATTACCTGCACTATATCTGAATGAAATAGTATTATTTAAAGAGGAACTTAGATTGTTTAAAAATGTATATAGTAAACCCTCAGGCAACCACTAAAATGATGAAAAGGAATTATAAATGATATGTCAGTATGGAAGACAAATGGCATCATAATAAATGTTCAATAAATAGCAGAGAGAGCCACAGAAGGAAACATTTAAAAGAAAGAGCAAATGCAATTAATACAAAGCATAAAGATAATAGGCTGGGCGTCGTGGCTCACATCTGTAATCCCAGCACTTTGGGAGGCTGAGGCAGGCAGATCACATGAGGTCAGGAGTTCAAGACCAGTCTGACCAACATGGAGAAATGCTGTCTCTACTAAAAATACAAAATTAGCCAGGCATGGTGGTGCATGCCTGTAATCCCAGCTACTCGGGAGGCTAAGGCAGGAGAATCACCTGAACCTGGGAGGTGGAGGTTGAGGTGAGCAAAGATCATGCCATTGCACTCCAGCCTGGGCAACAAGAGTGAAACTCTGTCTCAAAAAAAAAAAAAAAAAAAAAAAGAAACAGATAGTATATATAGTTTCTTCCAAATATATTTGGAATCACTTTATACCTGAATAGTCTAAATACACCAGTCAAAATCAGAAATTGGTTTTCTGTTCCTGTGTTAATTCACTTAGGATTATGGCCTTCAGTTCTATCCATGTTGTTGCAAAGGACATGCTTTTATTTTTTTTTCTATAGCTGTGTAGTATTTCATGGTGTATGTGTAACACATTTTCTCAATTATAAATAGTAGCTAAATATTGAGCACACAAGGACTCAAACAAGGGAACAACAGACACTGTGGACTACTAGACGGGGAGGTGGAAAGAAGGAGCTGGGTTGAAAAACTACCTATTGGGTAATATGTCAGTACCTGGGTGCAATATAACCATGTAAAAAATCTGCACATGTACGCCCTGTATCTAAAAAAAAAGTTGAATTTAAAAAAAAAGAAATTGGGAAGTATGATCAACTGATAAACACCAATGTAGGGAAATATGTAGACTTAAGAACACTCTTACACAATACTTATTAGAGTTTTAATTGGTATGATCACTTTTGGGAGCCATTTGGTAATATCTCGTGAGATTAAAAATGTGCATATTTCATGACCAGACAATTCCAACCCTCAATGTCTATATCAGATATGTTCTATTTTATATATGCCAGGAAACATATGAAAAAAAGTATTTACTTTAGCGCTTGTTTATATCAGCAAATAAAGTGTAAATAAATTAACTTTCTGCCAATAGGAAAATCGGTGACTTAGAGATAGCTTATTTTTATAAGAAAATAGTATATAATATTAGAAATGAATTCAGTTGATTTACTTGTATCAAGAGGGATAAATATAGAAAAGATAATGTTGAGGAGGAGCCAAGATGGCTAACAGGAACAGCTCCGGTCTACAGCTCCCAGTGAGAGCGACGCAGAAGACGGGTGATTTCTACATTTCCATCTGAAGTACCGGGTTCATCTCACCATGGAGTGCCAGACAGTGGGCGCAGGTCAGTGGGTGCGTGCACCGTGCATGAGCCAAAGCGGGGCAAGGCATTGCCTCACTCGGGAAGTGCAAGGGGTCAGGGAGTTCCCTTTCCTAGTCAAAGAAAGGGATGTCAGACGGCACCTGGAAAATCGGGTCACTCCCACCTGAATACTGCACTTTTCTGACGGGCTTAAAAAACGGTGCACCAGGAGATTATATCCCACACCTGGCTCAGAGGGTCCTACGCCCACAGAGTCTTGCTGATTGCTAGCACAGCAGTCTGAGATCAAACTGCAAGGTGGCAGCAAGGCTGGGGGAGGGGCGCCCACCATTGCCCAGGCTTGCTTAGGTAAACAAAGCAGAGGGGAAGCTCGAACTGGGTGGAGCCCACCACAGCTCAAGGAGGCCTGCCTGCCTCTGTAGGCTCCACCTCTGGGGGCAGGGCACAGACAAACAAAAAGACAGCAGTAACCTCTGCAGACTTAAATGTCCCTGTCTGACAGCTTTGAAGAGAGCAGTGGTTCTTCCAGCACGCAGCTGGAGATCTGAGAACAGGCAGACTGCCTCCTCAAGTGGGTCCCTGACCTCTGACCCCCAAGCAGCCTAACTGGAAGGCACCCCCAAGCAGGGGCAGACTGACACCTCACAGGGCCGGGTACTCCAACAGACCTGCAGCTGAGGGTCCTGTCTGTTAGAAGGAAAACTAACAAACAGAAAGGACATCCACACCAAAAACCCATCTGTACATCACCATCATCAAAGACCAAAAGTAGATAAAGCCACAAAGATGGGGAAAAAACAGAGCAGAAAAACTGGAAACTCTAAAAAGCAGAGCACCTATCCTCCAAAGGAACGCAGTTCCTCACCAGCAACAGAACAAAGCTGGACAGAGAATGACTTTGACGAGCTGAGAGAAGAAGGCTTCAGACGATCAAATTACTCCGAGCTATGGGATGACATTCAAACCAAAGACAAAGAAGTTGAAAACTTTGAAAAAAATTTAGAAGAATGTATAACTAGAATAACCAATACAGAGAAGTGCTTAAAGGAGCTGATGGAGCTGAAAACCAAGGCTCGAGAACTACGTGAAGAATGCAGAAGCCTCAGGAGCCGATGTGATCAACTGGAAGAAAGGGTATCAGCGATGGAAGATGAAATGAATGAAATGAAGTGAGAAGGGAAGTTTAGAGAAAAAAGAATAAAAAGAAACGAGCAAAGCCTCCAAGAAATATGGGACTATGTGAAAAGACCAAATCTACGTCTGATTGGTGTGCCTGAAAGTGACGGGGAGAATGGAACCAAGTTGGAAAACATTCTGCAGGATATTATCCAGGAGAACTTCCCCAATCTAGCAAGGCAGGCCAACATTCAGATTCAGGAGATACAGAGAACGCCACAAAGATACTCCTCGAGAAGAGCAACTCCAAGACACATAATTGTCAGATTCACCAAAGTTGAAATGAAGGAAAAAATGTTAAGGGCAGCCAGAGAGAAAGGTCAGGTTACCCTCAAAGGGAAGCACATCAGACTAACAGAAGATCTCTCAGCAGAAACTCTACAAGCCAGAAGAGACTGGGAGCCAATATTCAACATTCTTAAAGAAAAGAATTTTCAAGCCAGAATTTCATATCCAGCCAAACTAAGCTTCATAAGTGAAGGAGAAATAAAATACTTTATAGACAAGCAAATGCTGAGAGATTTTGTCACCACGAGGCCTGCCCTAAAAGAGCTCCTGAAGGAAGTGCTAAACATGGAAAGGAACAACTGGTACCAGCCACTGCAAAATCATGCCAAAATGTAAAGACCATCGAGACTAGGAAGAAACTGCATCAACTAACAAGCAAAATAACCAGCTAATATCATAATGAGAGGATCAAATTCACACATAACAATATTAACTTTAAATGTAAATGGACTAAATGCTCCAATTAAAAGACACAGACTGGCAAATTGGATAAAGAGTCAAGACCCATCAGTGTGCTGTATTCAGGAAACCCATCTCATGTGCAGAGACACACATAGGCTCAAAATAAAAGGATGGAGGAAGATCTACCAAGCAAATGGAAAACAAAAAAAGGCAGGGGTTGCAATCCTAGTCTTTGATAAAACAGACTTTATACCAACAACGATCAAAAGAGACAAAGAAGGCCATTACATAATGGTAAAGGGATCAATTCAACAAGAAGAGCTAACTATCCTAAATATATATGCACCCAATACAGGAGCACCCAGATTCATAAAGCAAGTCCTGAGTGACCTACAAAGAGACTTAGACTCCCACACATTAATAATGGGAGACTTTAACACCCCACTGTCAACATTAGACAGATCAACGGGACAGAAAGTCAACAAGGATACCCAGGAATTGAACTCAGCTCTGCACCAAGCAGACCTAACAGACATCTACAGAACTCTCCACCCCATATCAACAGAATATACATTTTTTTCAGCACCACACCACACCTATTCCAAAATTGACCACATACTTGGAAGTAAAGCTCTCCTCAGCAAATATAAAAGAACAGAAATTATAACAAACTATCTCTCAGACCACAGTGCAATCAAACTAGAACTCAGGATTAAGAATCTCACTCAAAACCGCTCAACTACATGGAAACTGAACAACCTGCTCCTGAATGACTACTGGGTACATAATGAAATGAAGGCAGAAATAAAGATGCTCTTTGAAACCAAACCAACGAGAACAAAGACACAACATACCAGAATCTCTGGGACACATTCAAAGCAGTGTGTAGAGGGAAATTTATAGCACTAAATGCCCACAAGAGAAAGCAGGAAGGATCCAAAATTGACACCCTAACATCACAATTAAAAGAACTAGAAAAGCAAGAGCAAACACATTCAAAAGCTAGCAGAAGGCAAGAAATAACTAAAATCAGAGCAGAACTGAAGGAAATAGAGACACAAAAAACACTTCAAAAAATTAATGAATCCAGGAGCTGGTTTTTTGAAAGGATCAACAAAATTGATAGACCGCTAGCAAGACTAATAAAGAAAAAAAGAGAGAAGAATCAAATAGATGCAATAAAAAATGATAAAGGGGATATCACCACTGATCCCACAGAAATACAAACTACCATCAGAGAATACTACGAACACCTCTATGCAAATAAACTAGAAAATCTAGAAGAAATGGATAAATTCCTCGACACATACACTCTCCCAAGACTAAACCAGGAAGAAGTTGAATCTCTGAATAGACCAATAACAGGATCTGAAATTGTGGCAATAATCAATAGCTTACCAACCAAAAAGAGTCCAGGACCAGATGGATTCACAGCCGAATTCTACCAGAGGTACAAGGAGGAACTGGTACCATTCCTTCTGAAATTATTCCAATTAATAGAAAAAGAGGGAATCCTCCATAACTCATTTTATGAGGCCAGCATCATCCTGATACCAAAGCCAGGCAGAGACACAACCAAAAAAGAGAATTTTAGACCAATATCCTTGATGAACATTGATGCAAAAATCCTCAATAAAATACTGGCAAACCGAATCCAGCAGCACATCAAAAAGCTTATCCACCATGATCAAGTGGGCTTCATCCCTGGGATGCAAGGCTGGTTCAATATACTCAAATCAATAAATGTAATCCAGCATATAAACAGAGCCAAAGACAAAAACCACATGATTATCTCAATAGATGCAGAAAAGGCCTTTGACAAAATTCAACAACGCTTCATGCTAAAAACTCTCAATAAATTAGGTATTGATGGGACGTATTTCAAAATAATAAGAGCTATCTATGACAAACCCACAGCCAATATCATAGTGAATGGGCAAAAACTGGAAGCATTCCCTTTGAAAACGGGCACAAGACAGGGATGCCCTCTCTCACCACTCCTATTCAACATAGTGTTGGAAGTTCTGGCCAGGACAATTAGGCAGGAGAAGGAAATAAAGGATATTCAATTAGGAAAAGAGGACGTCAAATTGTCCCTGTTTGCAGACGACATGATTGTATACCTAGAAAACCCCATTGTCTCAGCCCAAAATCTCCTTAAGCTGATAAGCAACTTCAGCAAAGTCTCAGGATACAAAATCAATGTACAAAAATCACAGGCATTCTTATACACCAACAATAGACAAACAGAGAGCCAAATCATGAGTGAACTCCCATTCACAATTGCTTCAAAGAGAATAAAACACCTGGGAATCCAACTTACAAGGGATGTGAATGACCTCTTCAAGGAGAACTACAAACCACTGCTCAAGGAAATAAAAGAGGATACAAACAAATGGAAGAACATTCCATGCTCATAGGAAGAATCAATATCATGAAAATGGCCATACTGCCCAAGGTAATTTATAGATTCAATGCCATCCCCATCAAGCTACCAATGACTTTCTTCACAGAATTGGAAAAAACTACTTTAAAGTTCATATGGAACCGAAAAAGAGCCCTCATTGCCAAGTCAATCCTAAGCCAAAAGAACAAAGCTGGAGGCATCACCCTACCTGACTTCAAACTGTACTACAAGGCTACAGTAACCAAAACAGCATGGTACTGGTACCAAAACAGAGATATAGATCAATGGAATAGAACAGAGTCCTCAGAAATAACGCCGCATATCTACAACTATCTGATCTTTGACAAACCTGAGAAAAACAAGCAATGGGGAAAGGATTCCCTATTTAATAAATGGTGCTGGGAAAACTGACTAGCCATATGTAGAAAGCTGAAACTGGATCCCTTCCTTACACCTTATACAAAAATTAATTCAAGATGGATTAAAGACTTAAACGTTAGACCTAAAACCATAAAAACCCTAGAAGAAAACCTAGGCAATACCATTCAGGACATAGGCATGGGCAAGGACTCCATGTCTAAAACACCAAAAGCAATGGCAACAAAAGACAAAATTGACAAATGGGATCTAATAAAACTAAAGAGCTTCTGCACAGCAAAAGAAACTACCATCAGAGTGAACAGGCAACCTACAAAATGGGAGAAAATTTTCACAACCTACTCATCTGACAAAGGGCTAATATCCAGAATCTACAATGAACTCAAACAAATTTACAAGAAAAAAACAAACAACCCCATCAAAAAGTGGGCGAAGGACATGAACAGACACTTCTCAAAAGAAGACATTTATGCAGCCAAAAAACACATGAAAAAATGCTCACCATCACTGGCCATCAGAGAAATGCAAATAAAACCACAATGAGATACCATCTCACACCAGTTAGAATGGCAATCATTAAAAAGTCAGGAAACAACAGGTGCTGGAGAGGATATGGAGAAATAGGAACACTTTTACACCGTTGGTGGGACTGTAAACTAGTTCAACCATTCTGGAAGTCAGTGTGGCGATTCCTCAGGGATCTAGAACTAGAAATACCATTTGACCCAGCCATCCCATTACTGGGTATATACCCAAAGAACTATAAATCATGCTGCTATAAAGACACATGCACACGTATGTTTATTGTGGCATTATTCACAATAGCAAAGACTTGGAACCAACCCAAATGTCCAACAATGATAGACTGGATAAAGAAAATGTGGCACATATACACCATGGAATACTATGCAGCCATAAAAAATGATGAGTTCGTGTCATTTGTAGGGACATGGATGAAATTGGAAATCATCATTCTCAGTAAACTATCGCAAGAACAAAAAACCAAACACTGAATATTCTCACTCATAGGTGGGAATTGAACAATGAGAACACATGGACACAGGAAGGGGAACATCACATTCTGGGGACTGTTGTGGGGTGGGGGGAGGGGGGAGGGATAGCATTGGGAGACATACCTAATGCTAGATGACGAGTTAGTGGGTGCAGCGCACCAGCATGGCCCATGTATACATATGTAACTAACCTGCACATTGTGCACATGTACCCTAAAACTTAAAGTATAATAATAATAAATAAATAAAAAGAAAAAAAAAGAAAAGATAATGTTAAGTAAAAATCAAACCTTCAAAAGGGTACTTAGAGTAGGAAGCAACATATATAAATTAAAACACACAAATTTATAGAATATTTGTTTATGGGGACATACATATGTAGTAAAGACAAAATGCACATTTGTTAGTTCAATGGCATAAAAAATCATAAATTGTAGATTAGATTAAGAAACAAAAAACAGTATCAAGAAAACAAAACAAAAATATGATACCTAATTATATGCTGTGTAGAGCAAACCCAATTTAAATATAAAGACTTTTAGAAGTGAAATAAAATGATGAAGAAAGATATATCATGCAAACACAAAGCATAAAAAGAAGCTGAATTACCTCTATTAATTTCAGAGAAAGCAATCTTCAGAACAAAAAAGAGTATCAGGAGTAAAAGAAACATTAAATAATGAAAGAAGGATCAATTCTCAAAGCAGACATAATCATAAAAGGGTGTGTACCTAACAAAACAGCATCAAAATATATGCAAAAATTTATAGAACTGAAAGGAGAAATAGACAAATATCCTATTATAGTTGCATAGTTTGACACTCCCTTGTCAGTAAATGATAAATAGAGCAGGCAGAAAATGATAAGGCTAAAGATAAACTGAACAACACTATCAACAAATTGGCATTATAGAATATTCTGTACAGCATCATAAGAATACACGTTCTTCTCATGTGCAGATGGAACACTCATCAGGATGGAACACTCATGAAGATACATCACAGTATAGGCCATAAAATAAACATTTGCAGGTTGAAAATGCTAGAAATTATGTAAAGTACGTTCTCAGAGGGTAACAGATTTACTGTAGAAATCAGTAACTGAAATGTGGCCATAAAACCTGAACTATTTATAAAATAGAGAATATAGCTCTAAATAACACTTACGGTTAAAAAAATACCAACATATCTTATGAACATAGAGTATATACAAAAATCCTTTAAAGTATTAGCAAATCAAAAATGGTAAGATATAAAAAGAGTAATTCACCACAACTGATTCATTATAGGAATGCAAGTATGGTTTTACATTCATAAATCAATCAATGTAATTTATCTTGTTAGCAGGCTAAATATGAGAAATCATATCAATAGATACATTAAATGCATTTTACAAAATTTAATATCCATTTACGATTAAAAACTCAAAAGTCAGGAATAGAAGGTGTGTTAGCCCAGTCTTGCATTGTTATGAAGAAATGACCAAAACTGGATAAATTGTAAAGAAAATAAACCTAATTGGCTAACAGTTCTGCAGGTTGTGCAGAAAGTATGGTGATGGCATCTGCTGGACTTCTGATGAGGCCTCTGGGAGCCTTTATTCATGGTGGAAGGCAAAGTGGGAACTGGCACATCACATGGCTTGAGCTAGAGCAAGAGAGAGAATGGGAAATCCTACAGAGTTTTAAATAACCAGATCTTGTGTGAACCCACTCATCACTAAGGGGATGGTGCTAAGTCATTCATGAGGGATACACATTTTCATGATCTAAACACTTTCCACGTGCCCCATCTCCAACAATGGGGATTACATTTCAATGTGAGATTGGATGGGGAAACAGATCCAAATCATCTCAGAGGGAAACATCCTTTATCTAATAAGGCAGATAGGAAAACTTACAAAGAACATCGTATTGATGACAGACCGAACAAAATGAATATAGTAGTATTGCATTATAGCTAAAATTATAAAATAAATATTTACAAGTCCATACAGATATTAAAAATGAATTAATAAATAGACAAATAAGGGAGAATAGAAAAATCTCCTCTGCAGAAGAATTACAAATAATTTGTTAAGATACATTCACCTTAAGGAAGCAGAGCTCATCTCCCAGTTTCTTAGATGTGGTCTTTATATTGTGACTTTCTTCCAAAAAATACACATTACAAAGGAATAAAAAAAGGAACTACAGTGTAGCAACTTGACAAACTACCATAGCCAAGTGATTAATATCAACATTAAAAAGTCATATTGATAGCATATATTCTTGATATGCTATGACAAGAAAGGCATTTAATCTCTGTGATCTTGCAACCAAATATCAATTATCCCAGCCTAATGAGAAAAACATCAAAGAAATTACAATGTAGGAACATTCTACAAAATAACCTGAACTCCTCAAAACTGTCAAAAGTCATCAGAACAGAAATGGAAAATCTGAGAAACCATCATAGCTACGTGGAGCCAAAGGAGACATGACTACTAAATATAGTGTGGTATTATGTTTGGGAATCTAAGATAGGAAAAGGACATGCAGTAAAAACTATGAAAATGTGCATAAATGTGGACTTTAGTTAATAAGATATCAATACTAGTTTGTTAATTATAACAAATCTATTTTTCTAAGATACTAGTTATAGGAGAAACTGGATGCAGAGTATATGGAAAACATATGATTTTATTTTTATTTAAAACTGCTCTAAATTATCAAGTTTATAAAAATATTTATTCTACTACTTCTTCCTTAAAAATTCTAATTAAGTATGAGATAGGCTTAAACTCTTCAAATGAAGACACATAGAATATCTGATGATATTAGGAAAACCAAAGTAATGGAGCTTCACAGAAATTTAATTTCATCAAAGTTAGCAATGTTAATGATCAGCCACTCTGGACTAAATTCTGATTCTTTTTTGTACCCTTACAATATTTAATTTGCTAGCTTTAAAAGATTTTAACTATGATGTTTCAAACAATTGTTTTAGGAGATATCTGAACATTAACTTGAGCATTGGAAGCTTTTATTATGGTAAAGAGAATTGGTGGAAATAATGGTTAATGATGTTGAAAATACTTTTGTGTGTTTATAATACTATCTAGAGAGCCACTTTGGAGAAATGTATATTCAGATTATTAACCCATTTTATGATTGGGTTATTTAATTATTTAATATTGTGCTATTAGTACTTTATAGGCTCTAGATACAAGTTTTGTTGTTGCTGTTGTTGGATATGTGGTTTGCAAATATTTCCTCCCAGTCTGTTCCTTGTCTTTTCTTCTTCACATGGACCTTCAAAGAGCAAATGTTTTTAGTTTCAATTTTAATTATGTCCAATGTAGCAAAGTTTTATGGATTTGGATTTTGTTATAAAATCTAAGAACACTTTGACTAGCCATAGGACCCAAGGATATTCTACCATGATTTTAATAAATGTTTTCAGGTGTGTGCTTTACATTTAGGTCCATGATCTATTTTGAATGGATTTTTACATGAGGGGTAAGGTTTAGGTCAAGGTTTGTATTTTTTCCCCATGGAAGTTTAGCTCCTCTAGTGCCAATAAAAATAAAATTAATACAAAATGCATTATATACAAAAACTGGCTCATGATGTTTCATAGACCTAAATATAAAACTGCAAACTAGACAAATTCAAGGTGAAAATGTAAGAGAAAATGTTTTCCTCTTGGAGTTACAAAAATATATATATTACATATTTTACAAAAAGCATATTCACAGAAGAATAAACCTAGATAAATTGAACAGTATCCAAACTAAAAACTTCTGCTCTTTCAAATACACTGTTAATAATGGAAAGAAAATTCACACTTTTTCTGGGAGAAAATATTTTCAGATCATATATCTGACAAGGGACATATAACCAGAATGTATAAAGGACATTCAAATCTCAACATTGTGTAAACAACAATTTTTCAAAAAAGAACAATACATATCAATGGACATTTGAATAAATTAAATATTCATATGGCAAACGAGAATGTGAAAAATTAACCCCATTAGTTATCAGGGAATTGCCAGAGGAAAAACATGAGATTTCTCCAAACATGCATTAGAATGGCAAAAACATTTTTTTCAATGACATACCAAGCATTGATGAAGATATAGAACAACTGGATCTCTCACATACTGTTGGTCGGAAAGCAAGATTATATTGCTACTTGAGAAAACTGTTTAGTAGTTACTTAGAACATTAATCATACACTTAACATGTTACCTTGTAATCTTACTGCTAGGTGATTTCCCAAGTGAAATAAGATTTTCAGTTCACACACGAAAAACAAACTGTACAATAATTTTTACAACTGCTATATTCATAATTGCCAGAAAACAGAAACAACATAATTCCCCTTAATGGGTTAATGAATAAGCAGACAACAGTACATCGATCTATACAACAGAATACTACTCGGCAATTAAGGAATCAACTATGAATACACTCAACAACCAACAACATGGATGAATCTCGAATGTATTCTGTAAAGCAAAAACATACATTAAAAGTGTGTATTATACGTAATTTCATTAATATGACATTCTTAAATAGATGAAACAATAGGAAGAGAAAACTGATGGGTGGTTGTCAGGTACTGGGGGTAAGAATTGATTACAAAGAGCATAATAAAATGTTTTAGGGTAATGGAACAAATCTATATCTTGACTTTTCTGATAGTTATATGGTTGGATATATTTGTCAGCAATCATAGAACTCTATAGGGAAGAGGGTACATTTTACTGTTTGTAAATTATAATGCCTCTCCAACCCACACACACCCTAAAAATACAACATGAAAGAAAACTCAAAACTTTACCTAATAATCAGGCCAAGCTAGAGAAGAAACAGATCCTTCATATATTATTTTCCAATACCATTAATTAAGTTTTTTTCATTATTATTTTCTAAAATGTTTGTGGGTACACAGTACATGTATATATTTATAGGGTATGTGATATATTTTGATAAAGACATGCAATGTGAAATAAGTATATCATGAAGAATGGGGTAACTATCCTCTCAAACATTTATGAGTTATAGACAATCTAATTACATTCTTTAAGTTATTCTAAAATATACAATTTTTATTGACTGTAGTCATGCTACTATGCTATCAAATAGTGGGTCTTATTTATTCTATTTTTTTTTGTACTCATTAATCATCCTCATGTTTTCCTCAAACCCCTGCAACTCTTCCCAGTCTCCAGTAACTATCTTCCTGCTTTCTATGACCGTAATCTCAATGTTATTTATGTTTAGATCCCATAAATAAGTGGGAACATGCAATGTTTGTCTTTCTGTACCTGGCTTATTTCACTTAACATAATGATCTCCAGTTCCATTCATGTTGTTGCAAATGACTGAATTTCATTCTTTTTTATGGCTGAATAGTACTCCATTGTGTATATACACCACATATTTTATTCATTAATCTACTGATGAACACGTAGGTTGCTTCCAAGTCTTAGCTATTGTAGACAGTGCTGCAACAAACATAGGATTGTGGATGTCTCTATTATATATTGATCTCCAGTTTTGGGGTATATACTAAGCAGCATGATTATTAGATCATAAGATAGCTCAATTTTTAGTTTTCTGAGAAACATAGGAGTGCAGATATTTCTTTGATATAATGATTTTCTTTCTCTTGGTACATACCCAGCAATGAGATTGCTGGATCATATAGTAGCACAGATTGTTCCCAATGTTTTCTTATGATAATTTCACGGTTCAGTCTTAAATGTAAGTCTTTAATTCATTGTGATTCAATTTTTGTATATGGTGAGAAATAGGGGTCTAGTATCATTCTTCTGCATATGAATATCCAATTTTTCCAGAACTATTTATTGAGGAGAATTCTGTTTCCCCAGTGTATGTTTTTGGCACCTTTACCAAAAATGAGTTTGCTGTAGGTGTGTGGACTTGTTTTGGGGTTCTCTATTCTGTTCCATTGTTCTATGTGTTTTTCATGCCAGTACCATGCTGTTTTGGTTAATATAGATCTGTGGTATAATTTGAAGTGAGATAATATGATTCCTCCAGTTTCGTTCTTTTTACCTAGGTATGGTGTTTGGTGTTGCTGCAATTTGTTATTGTTGCTTTTGTTGCAGCTGCTGCTGTTTATGTCTTTGTGACTTTCCTAAATTAATTCATTAAGATCTGTGCTATGGTTTGAAAGTTTGTGTCCCTCCTACTCCCCACCAAATGCATGTGTTGTAATCTAATCACCAATGCAACAATGTTAGGAGATGGGATCTTTGAAATATTAGGTCATAATTAGGTCATGAAGGTGGAGTGCTCATGAATAAAATTAGTGATATTATGAAGGAGATCCCAGCAAGCTTTTTGGCCCTTTCTATCATGAGAGGACACAGAAAGAAGTTGCCATCTATGAAGAAAAATGGTCCCTCGTTAGACACTAAATCTGTTTGTACTGTGATTTGGACTTCCCAGCCTCCAGAACTGTGAAAAAGACATTTCTGTTTTTTAAAAACCACCCAGACTGAAGTATTTTTTTTAAATTATACTTTAAGTTCTGGGGTACATGTGCAGAAAGTGCAGTTTTGTTACATAGGTATACATGTGCCATGGTGGTTTGCTGCATCCATCAACCCGACATCTACATTAGGTATTTCACCTAATGCTATCCCTCTCCTAGCCCCCCAGCTCCCAAAAGGCCCTAGTGTGTGATGTTCCTTTCCCTGTGTCCATGTGTTCTCATTATTCAACTCCCACTTATGAGTGAGAACATGCGGTGTTTGGTTTTCTGTTCCTGTGCTAGTTGCTGAGAATGATGGTTTCCAGCTTCATCCATGTCCCTGCAAAGGACATGCACTCATCCTTTTTTTTATTGGCTGCATAGTGTTCCATGGTATATATATGCCATATTTTCTTAATCCAGTCTATCATTGATGGGCATTTGGATTGCTTGCAAGTCTTTGCTATTGTGAATAGTGCTGCAGTAAACATACGTGTGCATGTGTCTTTATAGTAGAATGATTTATAATCTTTTGGGTATATACCCAGTAATGGGATTGCTGGGTCAAATGGTATTTCTAGTTCTAGATCCTTGAGGAATCACCACACTGTCTTCCACAATGGTTGGACTAATTTACACTCCCACCAACAGTGTAAAAGCTTTCCTATTTCTCCACATCCTCTCCAGCATCTGTTGTTTTCTTGACTTTTTAATGATCGCCATTCTAACTGGCGTGAGATGGTATCTCATTATGGTTTTGATTTGCATTTCTTTAATGACCAGTGATGATGAGCTTTTTTTCATATATTTGTTGGCTGCATAAATGTCTTCTTTTGAGAAGTGTCTGTTCATATCCTTCGTGTGCAAATGGTTGAAGACAATCTGCATTCTTTGTTGCATGTGACCACTGAGGTTTCTCCACAGAGCCCTGCTAATGATTAAAGAGACATTTCAGTAAAAATTTTGAATCAATAATCTCCTAACCCAGAGGGCTCAGCATGCATATTTTAGCATAACTTTGACATTCTATCATATAGTTGGGAGCTCTGCCTTTTCCTTCACTTTCTGCTTACACAGAGCCTCAAGGCAAGATAGAGGTGAAAGTTTAGGGTTTTCTCAGTTTTCTTTTCTGAGTATATACACAACCTTATGTCTGTGTTTCCTTCTGGATTCCCATGTATATGTCAGAATATTTCAAAGTCCCATATGTAAATCTTGATTTCTCAGCTTTTCTTTTTAAGTTTTTTTATTCCATTCTTTTTGCCCCAACTGTTATCTGTATTTCAAAAAACTAGGATGCTAAACCATTTTTATTAATTGTTTCTGACAGACTTCCTTGGGAGAAAGACTGTTTCCATGGAATGAGATCTTAGGCCAAATAAAGACGAGCTCTGCAATTGAGGCATTACATGTACTGCCAAACAGGTCAAATAATGACAATTCTTCAGAAATGATGCTTTTGCATGCTTCAAACATTTTCTACTATTTTCAGTTCCTGTTAGGCTGCTAGCTATTTGTGGAACTGTTGGTTTTCAAGGCCACCATGGAACTGGGGAAAGTGGAATCAAAATAGGGAGAGTAAAAATGCCACAAAGCTTGCTCTCCTTATTGAGACATAGGTGTTTCTATTGAATAAGTGTCCCTTGGATTGTTGCAAACATTTAGTTAATTTCCAGAACTCTGAATAGTTCATTTTGACCATTTTTTCCAGTGGTCTTGTTTTAGTTTTTTATGGAGGAACAGATTTTTGAAGGACTTAACTCCACAGTTTCTTCTGGAATCACTTTCTCGATATAAATATTAGAGTAAGATTGTTTGTGTGTTTTTTTTTTTTTAAAGCACACACACAAAAACAAGCAAAAAAAACTTGCTGGAATTTTTATTGGAAATTAGTTAAACTTATAAATCATTTAGGATAAAATTGACATCTTTAGCATGCTGAGTCTTCCATTTTATAGACATGGTATGTCTTGCCATTTATTTAATTCTTTGTTTATGTCATTAGCATTTTGTAATTGTCAGCATGAAAAACCTTTATGTTTTGTTAAGCCTCCACCTAAGTATTTAATATTTTTGGATAGATTATAAATGATACTTCAGTTTTAAAGATGATTTTCATGTAGTCACTATTGGTATATAGAAATGCAGTTGATTATTGTGTGGTAATTGTGTATGCTGCAGTGTTGCTACACTCAATTATTAGTTTTAGTAATTTTTAAACTTCTCTTTAGTAGACTTGTTGAATGTTCCTGCATCTACAATCATGCATATGCAAATAAAAAATTCTTTTTTTTCCAGTTTGTATATATATTATCGTTATTCATTTTCCTATTACAGATGCCAAAAGTTCTAATATCATGTTGAAAAAGAGTTAGGAGAATGGACATCCTTGCCTTGTCCCTGAAAGTATTCAGCCTTTCACAATTAAGTATGATGTTAGCTCTAATAAATATGATGCTTCAGTGATGTTAGCATTTGTAGATGCTCTATATCAAGATGTGTAAGTTTTTCTCTCTAATCCTAACTTGCTGAGTGTTTGTTGGTTTGTTTTGTGTTTTGAATTGTGTTGAGTTATATAAAATACCTTTTTGTATCAATTTATATAATCACATGAGTTTTCTTCTTCCTTAGACTGTTGATATGATTTATTATGTAGATTGATTCTTGATTATTTAACCAGCCTTGCCTGACATAAATTTTTCAGTCATTGTAAATAACTCTGTTTGTATATTGTTGTGCTTCATTCACTAGTATTTTGTTAAAGGTTTTTGTGTTTATCTTCATAAGGCATATTAGTCTTCTTTAATTTTTCATTTTTGTATAGTTTTTGTCTGGCTTTAGTATCAGGATAATACTTATCTCATAAAATGAGATGTTTCTTTTTATTACTTTCTCTGGAAAAGATTATTTAAAGTTGAAATGAATATTTACTAGAAACATTTGAAAAATTAAAATCACCTGTTCCTGAAGATGAACTTTTCAGGAACATTCTACTTATTAATTCACTTTCTTTAAAGGTTGTACAATGAATATGGTTATGTATTTGGTCTTGTTTGAGTTTTGTTAGTCATGGTCTTGAATTCATGAGTATAAAGTTGGTCTTGAATTCATGAGTATAAAGTTCATTTTAGTGTTTTCTAATTATTATTTTATTTCTTCAGGACCTGTTACAGTATTCCTCGCTTCTTTCATGATGTTGGTGGTTTGTGACGTCTCTCTTTATTTTCATTTATGGTGTTGGTGGTTTGGATCTTCTCTATTTTTATTAGCCTTGATGGAAGTTTCTAAATATTATTAATATAAAAATAACTATATTTATTTTCTTCATTATTTTCTGGTTATTTGCCTTGATTTCTGTCCATATTATTATTATTTCCTTCTTTTTACTTATACTGTTTACTTTGCTTTCCATTTTCTACTTTCTTGAGGTAGTAACTTAGACTATTGACTTAACTTTCCTATTTTTCTAATATAAGCACTCAGTAAGATAAATTTCCCTGTCAACATGGATTTAGCTACATACATCAAGTTTCAGTATGTTGTATTTTCATTTAAATCACACACACAAACACATATATTTTTTTCTTTGTAATTTCCTCTTTGAGAGATGAATTATTTAAAAATGTGTCATTTAGTATCCTCAAGTGTTTAAATATTTTCTTTTGTCTTTCTGGTATTGATTTCTAGTTTGATACCATTATGATCAGATAAAACAATCTTCATATTTTTTTCTTAAATTTGTTGACTCCAGTTTTATGGCCCAAAATATGTTCTGTGTTGGTGAATGCTTCATGGTCACTTAAAAATATGTGTATTCTGATGTTAGTAGGTAGAGTGTTGTATATATGTCCCTCTTTCTCTTTAAATTTTCTATGTTATCAAATTTGAAATAATTTTGTAAAAACCATGTATTTGGTTGTTTTTTAAAAATTACTTTACCAATCTCTGTGTTTGTTCTTTTTGATAAATTTCATTTTTAAAATTGTTTCAGGCTTACAGAAAAATTGAGCAGATAGAACATACAATTCCTATATATCCCACACCCATTTTTTATAATTAATAATTTACATTAGTATATTTGTTAAAATAAATGAGCCAATATTGACTTCTTGTTATGAACTAAAGTCCATAGTTTAGATTTCCTTCATTTTTACCTGATGTCTTTTTTTGTGCTCCAGGATCTCATCCAGGATATAATATCGCTTTATTTGCCATGTCTCTTTAGGTAGCTTTTGGCTGTGGCAGTTTCTTGGACTTTTCTTGGTTTCAAGGACCTTGGCAATTTTCAGAAGTATTTATCAGGTATTTTGTAGGATGTTCCAATATTGGAATTTGATATTTTTATTATAATAAGACTGGGGATTATGAGTTCTTGGGAGAAATTCCATGGAGGTGATGTTTCACTTCACCACATCATATCAAAAATACATACTATCAATGAGATTTATGACTGTTAATATTGACTTAATCACTTGGCTGAGATAATGTGTGTCAGGTTTCCTGCCTGTAAAATTACTCTTTGATTCTGCCGTTTTCTACTCTTTCATTCTCTTCCTTTTTGTAAGAAAGTTACTATGTGGCTTATTGAGTGGGAAGTTATATCTACATAAATTTTTTGGAATTCTGCAATTAAAACTTGTCCTTCATCCACATTTATTAATTTATTCAATACTTTATGTATTTCAGTATGGAAAATTGGCTATTTATTTTATACTTGAGATCTAATCCAATACTACTTTCTCTTGTTGCTCTAATTGTTACTATTTTGGCAATCAGGAACTTTTCAATTGGTGTTTGTCTGCTTGACATACCTGCATCCATAGACTTTTCATAGACTTTTTAAAGCACTTCTTTACTTTTTGGCACTACTTGATGCTGAAAGCTCATGTTCTATATTTCCTGCCCAAGCCCTAAATTCAGTCATTTCTCCAAGTTTCCCTGTTTTCTTTCTTGAAGAATGTATCAAAAAACAAAATTTAAGTGACATGTGTGCTAATTGCTACTGGAATTTTATTGCCTGTAGGCCTTTGTTGTTGGCAGATTGCTAGGGTCTGAATGTTTATGCCCCTGTGAAATTTCTTTGTTGAAATCTTCACCCCCAAGGTAATGCTATTAGAAGGTGGGAACTTTAGAATAATTAGGTGATGGGGACAGAGCCCTCATGAAGGGGATCAATGCCCTTATAAAAGAAATCTGAGAGAGACCCTTTGCCACTTCTGCCATGTGGGTTAGAGTGAGAAGAAGGTTATTTACGAGAAAGTAGCCCTTACTAGACGCTGAATCTTCTGGTGCCTTGATCTTAGACTCACCAGCTTTCAGAACTGTAAGAAATAAATTTCTAGTGTTTACAAGCCACCCAGCCTATGGTAGTTTTAGCTCCTACATTTGGGTCTCTGACCCATTTTTGTTGTTGTTGTGGTTGTTATTGTTGTCTGTTTTGAGACAGGGTCTCACTCTGTTGCCCAGGCTGAAGTGCACTGGCATCATCTAGGCTCATTGCAACCTCGACTCCTGGGTTCAAGCAATCCTCCCACCTCAGCCTCCCCAGTAGCTGGGACCACAGGGATGTGCCACTGTGCCTGGCTAACTTTTGTAATTTTGTTAAAGGTGGGGTTTAGCCATGTGGCCCAAGCTGGTCTTAAACTCCTGGGCTCAAGTGATCTGCTCGCCATGGCCTCCCAAAGTGCTGGGATTACAGGTATGAGCCACCATGTCTGGCCTCTTATCCATTTTGAATTAACTTTCATCTATGGCGTAGTGTAGGAGTCCAATTTCATTCTTTCAAGTGTGGATATTGTTTTCCTAGCACCATTTGTTAAAATGACTATCCTTTTCCTAATTGAATGATCTTGGTAATCTTGTCAAAACTAATTTGACTGTAAGCCTAAGATTTGTTTCTGGACTTTTTATGTTCTATTTTGTTGGTCTACATGCCTGTCCTTATGCCAGTATCATGTTGTTTTGATTACAGTAAATTTGTAGTAAGGCTTAATATTAGGAAACATGACACCTCTAACTTTGTTCTTGTTAAGAATTGTTTTTTCTATTCTGGGTTCGTTGTGGCTACATATGCATTTTAGGATCAATTTTTTTTATTTTGTCAAAAAACATCATTGGCAATTTGATAGGAAGTGGGTAGTATTCACATCTTAGCAACATTAATCCTCCCAATCCATGTAGATGGAATTTTTCCATTTATTTGTTTTCTTTAATTTCTCTCCACCATGTTTTGTAGTTTTCAGTGGACAAGTCTTTTGCTTTCTTGATTAAGTTTATTGTTAAGTATTACATTCTTTTTGATGCTATTGTAAATGGAATTATTTTCTTAATTTCCTTTTTGGCTTGTTGTTAGTGTAGAGAAACAATACTGATTTTTATATGTTTTGCTCATTTGTAATTAAGTTGTTTAGTTGTATATTATTCAGTTGTAAGTGTTGTATATTTTGAATATAATTTTTTACTTGATATATACTTTGTAAATATTTTCTTCTAATCTGTGTGTTCTCCTTTGATTATATTAACAGAGTCTTTCACAGAGAAGACATTTTTAATTTTAGCAATTTATGTCTTTTGTTTAGTAAATTTAGATCTTTTATATTTAAGGTAATTATTGTTGTGTTAGTGTTTTAGTTTGCCTCTTAATTATTTGTTTTATGTTACCTCTGTTTTTCATTTCAATTTTACCTTGTCTTAATTGTCTTTGGCTTGCTTGAATATTTTTGAGGACCCCAACATTATTTTATATAGAACTCCTAAGCAAATCAGTTAGTATATACTTTTTTTAGGGGTTGTTCTAGGTATCGAATTATACATGTAACTTATTACAGTCTACTAGCATAAATATTTTATTTCTTCATGCGAAGCGTGAAAACCTTACTTTAAGTTCCTTTTATTGTCTCACTTTAAATGATCATTTTCATGACAATAGATCATGTTATAATTTTTCAGAAAAAATAAAATTTTTATAACTTATAAGGAAAAAATATTTTTATGCCATTTTTTTTTTTTTTTTTTGAGACAGAGTCTCTGTCACCTATGCTGAAGTGCAGTGGCATAATCTCGTCTCACTGCAACCTCTGCCTCTCAGGTTCAAGCGATTCTCCTGACACAACCTCCCGAGTAGCTGGGATTACAGATGCCTGCAACCTTGCCCGTATGCCAATTTTTTTGCTCTTTCCATTGTTTCCTCCTCCTGCATGATGCTACAAGAGTACTTTTTTTTATGATGTCCTGTCTGAAGATTATTCTTTAGCCAGTCTTTAAGGATAGGTGTGCTGGTGACAAACTGTTTTAGTTTTCTTTATATGAGAGTTATTTATTTCCCTTTACTCTGCTTAGTTTTATCACATTTAGATTTCAGAGTTTTAATTATTTTCTCTCAGCATTAAAAAATCAGTTTCAGATAAAAAATCCGTGGTTATTTGAAGTGTTTTTTTCCCCTGTAGTTAAAGTGTAATTTGTCTTTGCTGCTTTCAGTTTATTCTCATCCTAGAGATTTAATCTAATATTTCTTGATGTGTATTTCTGTGAGCTTATATTATTTAGGTTTTGCTAAGCTCTGTGAATCTGTATGGTTTTTTGTTGTTGTTGTTTGTTTGTTTCAAAACTGAGAACTTTCAGCTAAGTATTTCTTCACATGTTTTTTGCAATTCTCCTTTTATCTACTCTCCTTCCAGGATTCTAATTATATGAACGTTAGGTCTTTTGTTATTGTCATACAAGTTGTTTACTGTACTTATTTTTTCCTTAGTCTAATTCCCCTCAATTCTTCAGGTCAATTCTTTTGACCTGTTTCCAAGGTTATTGATTTTATCTTCTGTCATCTCTACTATGTTATTGTGTCCATTCAGGGCACAATTAGGTATTTTTTGTTGTTTTTTAATTTGTTTTAAATTTTACTTATAATTTTTTACTTTTATATTTTTCATTTTGTTCTTTTTTTGTAACTTCTATTTCTTTGCAGATATTTTCTAATGTTTTGGCTTGTTTAAAGAAAATTTGTCATTAATTGTTGAAGCATTCTTATTATGGCTATTTCAAAATATTTGTCAGATAATTCCAACATTTGATTCATCTTAATATTGTTGTCAGTTGTCTTTTTTCATTAAATATGTGATTTTCTTATTTATTGGTATAATAGGTTTTTTCAATTATACATTGGAAATTTTGTCTATTATGTAAAAAGCCCCTGGCTCTTATTTGTTTCAATTTCAACTGTCACATTTAGCATAAAGGCCCTAGTTTACATATGCAGGATGTAATTCCAGTGACAGCTTATTTTTCAGATATTTGCAGTGTTATTTTGATCTGTTTGGTTGATTTGATGCTACTATGGCTCCCTGTGGTCTTTGCTGATGTTGCCTGAAAGAACTAAACTGATTTCACCAGGCTAGGCTGCCTTAGTATCTCTTGATGTGAAAGAGAGTCTGTAGCTTGTGAGGAAAGAGGCTTCTCTGGTGAGACCCTTGTTGTGGTGGAATCCTCCTTGCCTTAGAGCAACAGGTAGTATTTCCTGGCTTGGGTGCTTGTTGTAGCATGTTAGTTTCTGAATGATTCCACTATTTACCTCAGTGTCTCTTTGTCAGGGAGGAACATGTTAGGCCTACTGTGACCCCAAAGCTGCCAAGGCCAGGCCACTTGTTTTGGCTGGGTCCTTGATTCAGTTTTGTTATGTTTATCCTTAAGTACCAAACCATTATTCCTTCTGCTTACCATTTGTATCATTCTTCTCTGGTTTTTACATTATTTCAGAGTTCATAGCTGGACTTATAGAAAGTAGCAGGGATAAATCAATGTCTTCCTGTCTGAACAAGAATTTTACATTGTATGTGTACTCCAACCTTTTCTCCCAGTGGCCAAAACAGTCTAACTTTTTTTTTTCTTAACCAATATGGAATGCTGCTATCTAAAAGTTAGGCAAAACATATCAGAAAATTAGGCTTTAGGTCCTGCCTGGGTAGTATATATTGTAACTAGTAATAAGTAGAATTTCCAGAATTGAATAGAAAATTATTAATACTAGGCAGAAGATTTTCTTACTTTTCTGCGTTGGAAAGTCTTATATTTCACCATTCTACAGCTTTCCAAAAGATTAGTGCCATGTGTCTTGACATTGGAAACTATAAGCCTAAATTTAGAAACATGCTAATTAAAGCTAAACAAAATTTAGAGACATACTAATGTGCACTAAACTTTATTGACTAACCATTAGGTAGCCAGTTAAAAATTGTTGTGCAAAATTTTAATGACAATTTGCTTTAATTTTAATCACAACTTGCCACTTAAGTGATCAATACATTATATAGATTTTTAAATGTAAATTTGATGATGTAGAAGAATGTTTTTCTGTTTATTGTTATATAGGAAGCAATCACAGAAGTCTGAGTTGTGATCATACCACCTAGCATCAATTATTTTAGACAGGTTTAGTAATCATAAAGGAATTTTCAAATGCTTGCCTTTCAAAATTCTCCCTACATTTCCAAGGTCCTGCAGAACAGCATATCTAATTTATTTTCCCCATTTCCAGAGACCATCCAGCCTTATAGTTAATATGGAACCAACATCTGATATTACAGCACTATAGGGCTCACAAGGACTTTCAGCATCATAGATTAGAAATTCTTTCCTTCATTACTGTGGTAGAAAGAGATTAATTATCTGACCTTATAAGTTCAATGAGTATTTTGCTGTTTAGAGCATTTCCCAAATTTGTTCAATGCAACATAACTGGGTGAAATAGTAGTAGGTTCCATAGGCATAGACAAGATGACATGGTCATGTAAGTTTGGTAAATAATAAGCTAAACATAGTTAAATATTTGTATTTTTCTGCATGACTTCCCAGAAGCTTTAACATGCCTCTCCAAGGATGGAGGAGAGAGCAGGTTAAAATCTAGTGTTTCTAAAAGAATTATCTTTTGAAATAATCTTTAGAAAATTTGCCTGGAATATTTTCATTTGTTTAACACAGAATTTCCAAATCTTGATTGAATATAGAATGCCCCTCACCACACATACTTTATTCCCCGTAAAGAAGAACATATATTCAGTCCAAGCAATTAAAGTGGGAAAATTTTAAGTGATAAAGATTAGAAAAAAATAATTACAAGTGACCTTACTTCCAGATTATGATTGTCTCCGTTGACTTTGATAAATACCTACAAATTGTTTGGCAGGATGAACAGAGACAGTGTAATTTTTTTAAAGGTAATTGCAATTTTTTACAACAAAAAAATTAAAAGCCTCAATCTTTAATACCAACAAAATAGCATATATATTTTAAAATTATAAGATCTATAATATATTTACATAGAAAATAATGTAAAATATTGAGAATATTAAAAAGAACTAAATTAATAAAAAGATACATTATGTTCATGAATAAAATAGACTATATGTCAAAGAAGTCTATTATTATATTGATTTGTGTTTTGGGGCAATTCAAATCAAAATTTGAGCAAGGTTTTTAGTATTTTTAGTGGAATTTTACAGATTATTTAACTCTTTTAGGAGAGCAAAGGTCCAGGAGTAGCAATGATATTCTTCAATAAGAGCACAGTAAAGGGACTATTTCTACTTGTCCTATCAGCTATCAAGACATTATTAAGACTCATTCTAAGTCCATAGTTATAGGACCATATTGTACTGGCAAATAAATGAATGCAGGAAAATAGAGAGTGCAGAATTTAATCAGCACCTGTATAAAAACCATTAATATGTGATGTTGGAATTAGTGGTTATCTACATAGAAAAAAATAATTGGATTCCTATTTTATACCTCCACAGAATGCAATTATGGATATATTAAGTACTTCAATGTACAAGAATAGTACTTGAAAACTTTTAGAAAAAAACATAATATTTCTATGATTAGATATTTTACACATGATAAAAAGGTGCAAGTGATAAAGAAAGTGAAAAGGCATTCCATGGCAGGGAAAACATCAGGGAAAACATATTTATCATACATATCATTTGACAAAGGCTTACTTTTCAGAATATGTTTTGGGATAATTAAGAAAACACTACAAACCAATAGGTAAAGATAAGTAATCTACTAATAAAGCAATATACAAAAGTGACAAAAGGGATTTCTACATAAACAGAGACATATGTGTTCAATAAGCATTTGAAAACATGCTCAACTATATTAGAAAGAAAATGCAAATTAAAATCAGGTACCATTTCATATTCATTAGAATTATGAAAATAAAAAATTCAGACAACACTAAGTGTATTAATTTGCTAAGGCTGCCATAAAAAATACTACAGACGAGGTGGCTCAGACAAACTTAATTTTATTGTCTTACAATTCAGAAAGTGAGAAGTCCAAGATCAGGTTATTGGCACATTTGGTTTCTTCTGAGGCCTCTCTCTCTGGCTTGCAGGTGGTGGTCTTCTCACTATGTCCTTACATAGTCATTCTTCTCTGTGTTATATGTGTTCTAATTTCCTCTTCTTATAAGGATACCAGTCATACTAGATGACAGTTCACCCATATGACTTCATTTTATCTGAATTTTCTTATTAAGGACCCTATCTCCAAATACAGTCACATTCTGAGGTACTGGGAGTTATTACTTCAACACCCAAGAGTGCATAATTTAGCTCATAAATTTCAAGGGTACATAATTTAGCCCATAACACTAAGTTTTAGCAAAGATACTAACATGAAACTAACATTAAACAGACATTAAAACTGAACAAACATGAATAACACTAAGCAAAGACACTAATTGTCTGCTATTCTGCGGTACATAGAATTATCATATGCTTCAGTTGAGAGTTTAAGTTGGTATAAACCTTTTGAAAAACATTTTTTATTATTTAGTAATGTTGAATATGTACATGCCCTAAAAATTTTACTTCTACTTATGCCTCAGATGGCATTTGTACAGGTGCTCAAGAAGAAATATATAACAAAAAGCCAAAAGTAAAAACTGGCAAACACCCAAATATCTACCAAAATAGAATAGATGAAGAAATTGTGGTAAAGTAATATAGTGGAATATTGTACAACAATTAAAATTACTAAACTATAGTAATGCACGTCAGCATATGTCAATCACAAAATTATTTAGTGATAGACTAAATTCACAGAATATATAAATATTTCTTCTTTGTGTGAAGTGATTTTCTAGCAGTATGTTTTAATTTTTTGCTTTTTTGTGTATCTGTTGTAGAGTATTGATTTGAGATTACCATGAGGCTCTCAAATAATATTTTACAACCAAATATTTTAAACTGATGACAACTTAATTTGAATCACAAAAAAATTTTAAAAAGCAAAAAAAAATTAAAACTTTTATATTTTAGCATCACCATCCCCCCACTTCTTGCCATTTTATCTCTATTTATAATTTTTATACTATCTCATAAAGTTATTGTACTTATTACTTTTGACAGGTTTTTCTTTTAGTCTTCCTACTCAAGATATGAGTAGTTTGCACATCAAAGTTACAGCGTTAGAATATTCTGTATTTGTGTGCTTAGTATTACTAATGAGTTTTACATCTTGAGATGATTTATTATTGATCTTTTTTTTTCTTTCAGAATAAATAACTCCCTTTAGCATTTCTGGTAGAACTGGTCCAGTGTTGGCAAAATCCCTCCACTATTGCTTGTCTAGGAAAGTCTTTATGTATCTTTCATGTTTGAAGGGTATTTTTTGCTGGATGCGCTATTCTAGCATGAAAGTTTGTTTTTCCTCCTTCAGCACAATGAATATGTCGACTCACTCTTTTCTGGCCCCTAAGGTTTCCACTGAGAAGTTTGCTGCAACATGTATTGGAGCTCATTTTTATGTTATTTTTTTTAGCTTCTTATACAAAGTTTTTGCACATCAAAAGAAACAATCAAAAAAGTAAAAGACCCAGTTTTACAGATCCGGTTTCATTATTCTGCATATGGCTAGCCAATTTTCCCAGCAATATTTATTGAATAGGATGTTCTTTCCTTGCTCTGTTTTTTTTTTTTTTTTTGGCAACTTTGTTGAGGATCTATAGGCTGTAGGTATGTGGCTTTATTTCTGGGTTCTTTATTCTGTTCCATTGATCTATGTGTCCATTATTGTACAAGTACCGTGTGGTTTTGGTTACTATAGCCTTTTAATATAATTTGAGGTCAGTTAATGTGATGCCTCCATGCCTCCAGCTTTGTTCTTTTTGCTTAGAATTGCTTTAGCTTTTCTGGGTTTATTCCTGATGAATTTTTGGATCTTTACTTATTCTGTGAAAAATGACATAAGTATTTTGATAGGAATGGCATTACATCTGTAAATTGCTTTGGGGAGTATGGTCATTTTAATGATTGATTATTTCAAATCATGAGCATGGGCTTTTTTTTTCGCTTGTCTTTGTCATTTAGGATTTATTTCATCACTGTCTTATAGTTTTCCTTGTAGCAATCTTTTATCTCCTCGATTAAATGTATACCTGGGTATTTATTTTTTCTTGTAGTTATTGTAATTAGGTTTGACATTTTGATTTGGTTCTCAGCTTGATCAGTACTGGTGTATAGAACTACTACTAATTTTTGTACTTTGATGTATCCTGAAATGTTATTAAATTCATTTATTAGATCTAGGAGTACTTTGGTGGAGTCTTTAGGGTTTTTTATGTATAAGATCACATGATAAACAAATGGAAATAATTAGGCTTTCTCTTTTCAATTTGGATGCCTTTTATTTCTTCCTCTTACCTGATTGCTCTGGCTAGGACTTCCAGTACTATGTTGTAATAAGAGTGGTGCAAGTGAGCATCCTTTTCTATTTTCATTTCTAAGAAGAAAAGCTGACAGCTTTTACTATGATGTTGGCTATGGGTTTATTATATATGGTTTTTATTATTTTGGGGTATGTTTCTTTATGCATAGTTTGTTGAGTGTTTTTATTATGAAGCAATGCTGAATTTTATAAAAAGATTTTTTTCATCTATTGGGATGATCATATGGTTTTTGTCCTTAATTCTGTTAATGTGGTGAATTGCATTTATTGATTTCTATATGTTGAACCACCCTTGCATCTCTAGGATAAAATCCACTTGAATGTGGTGCATTACTTTTTTTGATGAGCTGTTGGATTTGGTTTACTCATATATTGTCGAGAATTTTTGCATCTATGTTCACCAAGAATAGTGGTCTGCAGTTTTCTTTAATTGTTTCTTTGCCTGGCTTTGGTATCAGAGTGCAACTAGCTGCATATAATTAGTTAGGGAGGATTCATTTCTCCTTAATTTGTTGAAACTATTGCAGTGGGTACCAGTTCTTCTTTGTAATTCTGGTAGAATTAGGTTGTGAATCCATCTGGTCCTGGGCTTCTTTTTTGTGGGGAGATTTTTAAAGTACTGATTCAATCCCACTATTCACTGTTGGTCTATAGAAAATTTTTATTTCTTCCTGGTTCAATCTTGATAGGTTATATGTTCCAGGAATTTATCTGTTTCCTTAAGTTTTCTAGTTCATGACTATAGAGATATTCATAGTAGTTTCTAATAATATATATACGTATATGTATATATGTATATATTATAATATTATATATATACACATATATGAATATATATGAATATATACACATATATGAATATATATGAATATATACACATATATGAATATATATGAATATATACACATATATGAATATATATGAATATATACACATATATGAATATATATGAATATATACACATATATGAATATATATACATATATGAATATATATGAATATATTTACATATATGAATATATATGAATATATATACATATATGAATATATACGAATATATGAATATATACGAATATATATGAATATATATACATATATGTATATATACATATATGTATATATGAATATATATACATATATGTATATATACATATATGTATATATGAATATATATACATATATGTATATATACATATATGTATATATGAATATATATACATATATGTATATATGTTATATATATACACGTGTGTGTGTGTGTGTGTGTGTATATACATATATATATATATGAGATAGAGTGATGCTCTGTCTCCCAGACTGGAGTACAATGGCGCGATCTCAGCTCACTGCCACCTCTGCTTCTGCCTCCTGGGTTCAAGCAATTCTCCTGCCGCAGCCTCTCGAGTAGCTGGGATTACAGGTGCCCACCATGATATCTGGCTATTTTTTGTCTTTTTAGTAGAGACAGGGTTTTGCCGCATTGGCCAGGCTGGTCTCAAATTCCTGACCTCAGGTGATCTGCCCGCCGTGGCCTCCAAAAGTGCTGGGATTACGGGCATGAGCCACCGAACCCGGCCTCTGATAATATTTTGTATTTCTGTTGTATCAGTTGTAATATCTTCTTATTCATTTCTAATTGTGCTTTTTTTAATCTTCTCTATTTTTAATCTAGCTGGCATTCAATTAATTTTGTTTATCGCTTCAAAAATAAACTAGTTTAACTGATACTTTGTATGGTTTTTTGGTTTCAAGTTCAATTAGTTCTGCTGTGATGCTGTAAACTTTGTTATTTATTCCTTTTCCTCTGCTAGCATTGAATTTGGTTTCTACTTTATTTTTTAGTTCCTTGAGGTGTGACATGCTGTTATTAATTTGTGATCATTCTGTCTTCTTGATATAAGCATTTAATGCTCCAAACTTCCCTCTTAGCATTGCTTTTGCTGTATCTCCAAGGTTTTGATATGGTGTTTCTCTATTTTTATATGTTACAATTTTTAAAATTTCCCTCTTACTTTATTTATCCAAACATTGTTCAGGAGCAAGTTTTTAAATTTTCCTGTATTTGTGTGGTTTTGAGAGTTTGTCTTGGAATTGATTTCTTCTTTCATTTCTCTATGATCTGAAATGATACTTGATATAATTTTGATTTTCAAAAATTTATTGAGACTTCTTTTGTAACCTAACATATAGTTTATTTTGGAAAATGGTGCATATGCTGATGAGAAGATTGTATATTCTTTGGTTGTTGGGTAGAATATTCTGTAAATGTCTGTTAGGTCAATTTGGTCTAGAGGCCAATTTAAGTTCAGTATTTCTGTGTTGATTTCCTGTCTTGATAATCTGTCTAGTGCTGTCAGTGGGGATTGAAGTCTGCCACTATTATTGTATTAATATTTATCTCTTAGTTCTATCATTTGTTTCATTCAGACTTTAAACTATAATGATTTTTTTAAAAGCGGACATTACATAATGATAAAGGGTTTAATTCAACAAGAAGGCCTAACTATTCTAAATATATATGTACTCAACACAAGAACACCCAGATTTATAAAGCAAGTTCTTAGAGACCTTTAAAGAGACTGAGACTCCTGCCCCCACAATAAAAGGGAGAAACTTTAACAACCCACAGATAACATTAGACAGATCATGGAGGCAGAAAATTAACAAAGATATTTAGGAGCTGAACTCAGCACTGATCAAATGGAACTGATAGACATTTACAGAAATTTCCACCCCCAAACAATGGAGTATACATTTTTTTTATCACCACATTGCACATTCTCTAAAATCAATCAAATAATTGGACATAAAACCCTCCTCAATGAATGCAAAATAACTGATATCATAACTACCCTCTTGGGCCACAGCACAATCAAACTGAAAATCAAGACTAAGAAATTCATTCAAAACCATACAACTACATGGAAGTTGAGTAACTTGTTCCTGAATGACTTTTGGGTAAATAATGTAATTAAGGCAGAAATCAAGAAGTTCTTTGAAACTAATAAGAACAAAGATACAATGTACCAGAACCTCTAGGAAACAGCTAAGTCAGTGTTAAGGGAGAAATCTGGCACGGCAAGGTGGCTCACGCCTGTAATCCCAGCACTTTGGGAGACCTAGGTGGGTGGATCTCCTGAGGTCAGGAGTTCGAGACAAGCCTGGCCAACATGGAAAAAACCCTATCTCTACTAAAAATAAAAAAAAAATAACCAGGCATGATGGTGGGCACCTGTAATCCCAGCTACTTTGAAGACTGGAGCAGGAGGAAACACTTGAACCTGGGAGGTGAAGATTACAGTGAGCCAAGATTGTGCCACTGCACTCCAGCCTGGGCAACTGAGTGAGACTCCATCAAAAAAAAAAAAAAAAAAAAAGAGGGAAATTTGTAGCACTAAATACCCACATCAAAAACTTTTAAAGATCTCAATTTAACAACCTAACATCACAAATAAAAGAACTAAAGAACCCAGTGAAAATCAACCCAAAAGCTATCAGACAAGCAATAACCAACATAACAGTTAAACTGAAGGAGATTCAAAAATAAATGAATCTAGGAGCTGTTGATTTAGAAAAAGAATAATAAAATAGACCACTAGCTAAACTGATAGAAAAAATCTCAGAAGAATCAAATAAACACAATCAGAAATGATAAGGGGGATATCACCATTGACCTCACAGAAATACAAACAACCATCAGAAAATACTATAAACACCTCTATGCACATGAACTAGAAAATCTAGAATAAATTGATAAATTCCTGGACACATATACCCTCCCAAGGCAAAGCCAGGAAGAAACTGAATCTCTGAATAGACCAATAATGAGTTCTGAAATTAAGGCAGTAATAAATAGCTTACTAACCAAAAAACAACAGGACCAGATAGATTCACAGCTGAATTCTACCAGATGTACAGAGCTGGTACCATTCCTACTGAAACTATTCCACAAAATTAAGGAGGAGGAATTCCTCCTTAACTAATTCTATGACGTCAGCAACACCCCAATACCAAAACTGACAGAGACACAACAAGAAAATAAAACTTCAGGTCAATATCTTTGATGAACATAGATACAAAAATGTTTAACAAAATACTAGCAAACCAATTCCAGCAGCACAAAAACATCTTATCCATCAGAATCAGCTAGGCTTTATCCCTGGGGTGCAAGGTTGGTTCAACATATGCAAATCAAAAAATGTGATTCATCACATAAACAGAACTAAAGACAAAAACCACATGATTATCTCAATAGATGCAGAAAAGACTTTCAATAAAATTCTATGTTCCTTTATGTTAAAAACTCTCAAGAAATTAGGTATTGAAGGAATATACCTTAAAATCATAAGAGCCATCTATGACAAGCCCACAGCCAATATCATACCGAATGAGCAAAAGCTGAAAGCATTCCCCTTGGAAACTGGCAAAAGAAAAGGATGCCCTATCTCAGCACTCTTATTCAATATGTATTGGAGGTCTGGACAGAGGAATCAGGCAAGAAAATGAAATCAAGGCATTCAAATAGGAAGAGAGGAAATCAACCTATCCCTGTTTGAAGATGATATGATCCTATATCTAGAAAACCCCAAAGTTTTCACCCAAAAGTTTTTTAATCTGGAAAACAACTTCAGCAAAGTTTCAGGACACAAAATCAACGTACAAAAGTCACTAGCATTTCTTTACACCAACAACAGTCAAGCTGAGATCCAAATCAAGAACAGAATCTTGTTTACAATTGTCATAATAATAATAAAATACCTGAGAGTAGAGCTAACCAGAAAAGTGAAAAACATCTACAAGGAGAGCTACCAAGCACTGCTCAAAGAAATCAGACATTACACAAACAAATGGAAAAACATCCCATGCTCATGGATACAAAGAATCATTATCTTTAAAAATGGCCTTACTGCTCAAAGCAATTTATAGATTCAATGCTATTCCTATTAAATTACCAATGACATTCTTCACAGAACTAAACATAAAATCAACCTAAAAGCTCATCAATTGTAGACCGAATAGAGAAAATGTGGTACATATACACCATGAAATACTATGCAGCCATAAATAGAATGAGATCATGTCCTTTGCAGGAACATGAATGGAGCTGGAGATCATTATCCATAGCAAACTAACACAGGAACAGAAAACCAAATACTGCATGTTCTCACTTATAAGTGGGAGCTAAATGATGAGAACACATAAACACATAGAGGGGAACAACAGACACTGGGTCCTATCAGAAGGTGAAGGTTGGGAGCAAAAAGTGGATTAGGAAAGATATCTCATGGGTACTAGGCTTAATACCTGGGTGATGAAATAATCTGTACAACAAATCTCAATGGCATAAGTTTACCTATATAAGAAATCTGCACATTTAACCGTGAACTTAATAGTTAAAAAATTAACTCCAGATGATTAAAGACTTAAATGTAAGACTTAAAACCATAAAAACCCTAGAAGAAAACCTAGGCAGTACCATTCAGGACATAGGCATAGGCAAAGACTTCATGACTAAAACACCAAAAGCAATGGCAACAAAAGCCAAAATTGACAAATGGGATCTAATTAAACTAAACAGCTTCTGCACAGCAAAAGAAACGCTCATCAGGATGAACATGCAACCTACAAAATGAGAGAAAATTTTTGTAATCTATCCATCTGACAAAGGGCTAATATCCAAAATCTACAATGAACTTAAACTTACAAGAAAAAAACAAACAACCCCATCAAAAAGTGGGAGAAAGCTATGAACAGACACTTCTCAAAAGAAGACATTTATGCAGCCAACATACATATGAAAAAAAAAAGCTCATCATCACTGGTCATTAGAGAAATGCAAATCAAAACCACAACCACAATGAGATACCATCTCACACCAGTTAGAATGGTGATCATTAAAAAGTCAGGAAACAACAGATGCTGGAGAGGATGTGGAGAAATAGGAACACTTTTACACTATTGGTGGGAGTGTAAATTAGTTCAACCATTGTAGGAGACAGTGTGGTGATTCCTCAAGGATCTAGAACCAGAAATACCATTTGACCCAGCAATCCCATTACTGGGTATATACCCAAAAGATTTGAAATCATTCTACTATAAAGACACATACACACGTATGTTTATTGCAGCATTATTCAAAAGAGCAAAGACTTGGAACCAACACAAATACCCATCAATGTTAGACTGGATAAAGAAAATGTGGCACATATACACCATGGAATACTATAAAGCCATAAAAAAGGATGAATTCATGTTCTTTGCAGGGACATGGATGAAGCTGGAAACCATCATTCTCAGCAGGCTAACACAGGAACAGAAAACCAAACACCACATGTTCTCACTCATAAGTGGGAGTTGAATAATGAGAACATATGGGCACAGGGAGGCGAACATCACACACTGGGGCATGTTGGGGGTTGGGGGGCAAGGGGAGGGATAGCATTAGGAGAAATACCTAATGTAGATGACAGGTTGATGGGTGCAGCAAACCACTATGGCATATGTATACCTATGTAACAAACCTGCATGTTCTGCACATGTATCCCAGAACTTAAAGTATAAAAAAAAAAAAAAGGAAAAAAAAATAATTTGTTTTATTAATCTGGGTGGTGTTGGTTAAGATATATGTCAATTTAGGATTGTTATATCTTCTTGGTAAATTGATCCCTTTATCATTTGATTGTCTTCTTTGGGTTTTTTCACTGCTGTTTATTAAAAGTCTGTTTTGCCTGATATAAGTATTGCTACTCCTGCTAACTTGTTTTGGCATGGAATGTCTTTTTAAAGCACTTTACTTTTAATGTGTCAGTATATTTTTCAGTTAGTTGAATCTTTTATAAGCAGCATATGGTTCCATCCTGTTTTTTTTTCTCTCTATTCTGCTGATCCATATCTTTTAAGTGGAACATTTAATCCATTTACATTAAAAGTTAATATTGATATATAAGCTTTTTTTCCTTTTGTAATGTTGTTACCTAGTTGACTTGTAGCCTCAATTGTAATTGTTTATAAGAACTATAAGCTTTATGCTTCTGAGTCTTTTATGATGGCAAATAATATTGTTTGGATGTGTGTCACTTTCATGTTGAAACGTGATACCCAATTTTGGAAGCAGGGCCAAGTGGGAACTGTTTGATTCATAGTGGCGGACTTCTCATAAATGACTTAATGCTGTCCTCACAGCAGTGAATGAGTTCTCACTCTATTAGTTTACATGAAAGATGATTATTTAAAAGAGCTTAGAACCTTCTTCTCTCTCTTTGTTCTCACTCTTGCCATGTGACACACCTCCTTCCTCTTTACCTTTTCCCTGGGTAAAATCTTCCTGAGGATTCACTAGAAGCTGAGAAGATATTGGTGCCATGCTTGAATATTCCAAATCACCATGAACAAAATAAGCCTTTTTTCTTTGTAAATTACTCGGCTTCAGTTATTTCTTTATAGTGACACAAACAGACTAACATAGTAAGTGTTGACATTTTGTTTTAGCGTTTAGAGCTCCCTTCAGCATTTCTTATAGATCTGGTCTAGTGGTGACAAATTCTCAGAATTTCTTTTTGTCTGGAAAACACCGTTTCTTTTTCATTTACAAAGCTTAGTTTAGCAGGATACAAAATATGTGGTTGCCAGTGTTTTTTTTAAGAAGTATGAAAATAGAACCCAAATCTCTTCTGGTTTGTAAGGTTTCTACTGCAAAGTTTGCTGTTAGTCTGATTGAATTTCCTTTATAGGTGATTAGATGCTTCTCCTTTGGTAAATTTAGTATTTTTTCCTGCATGTTAACTTTAGATAGTCTGACGACTATATGTTTTGGTGAAGTCTGTCTTGCAATGTATCCTCTTTGAGTTCTCTGTACCGCTTGTATCTGGATGTCTAAATAACTAGCAAGATGAGAATGTTTGCCTCAATTACTTCCTCAAATAGGTTTTCTAAACACTTTACTTCTTACTCAGGAATTTCTATGACTTGTAGATTTGAATGTTTTACATAATTCCCACACCTCTTGAAGGTTTTATTTACATTTTTATTATTCTTTTTTTTTCTTTTTTGTCTGATTGGGTTATTTTGAAAAACCCATCTTCAAGCCTTAAGATTCTTTCTTCTTGACCTAGTGTATTTTAAAGTTTTCAATCAGATTATGTAATTCCTAGTTAAATTTTTTTTTATGTCCAGAAATTGTGGTTGTTTGTCTTTTAATATCTAGCTCTTTGGTAAATTTTTCCTTTGTATCTGTATTGCAGGAAGTCAGGGACCCCGAATGGAGGGACCGGCTAGAGCCACAGCAGAGGAACATAAATTGTGAAGATTTCATGGACATTTATCAGTTCCCAAAATTAATACTTTTATAATTTCTTATGCCTGCCTTTACTGCAATCTCTGAACATAAATTGTGAAGATTTCATGGACATTTATCAGTTCCCAAATAATACTCTTATAATTTCTTATGCCTGTCTTTACTTTAATCTCTTAATCCTGTTATCTTTGTAACCTGAGAATGTATGTCACCTCAGGACCACTATTGTACAAATTGATTGTAAAACATGTGTGTTTGAACAATATGAAATCAGTGCACCTTGAAAAAGAACAGAATTACAGCAATTTTCAGGGAACAAGGGAAGACAACCATAAGGTCTGACTGCCTGCGGGGTCGGGCAGAATACAGTCATATTTTTCTTCTTGCAGAGAGCCTATAAATGGACATGGGAGTAGGAGATATATCACTCAATTCTTTTTCCAGCAAGGAATATTAATAATTAATACCCTGGGGAAGGAATGCATTCCTGGGGGGAGGTCTATAAATGGCTGCTCTGGGAGTGTCTGTCTTATGCAGTTGAGATAAGGACTGAAATATGCCCTGGTCTCCTGCAGTAACCTCAGGCTCACTAGGGTGGGGAAAATCCCCACCCTGGTGAATTTGAGGTCAGACCAGTTCTCTGCTCTCGAGCTCTGTCTTCTGTTGTTTAAGATGTTTATCAAGACAATAATGTGCACAGCTGAACATAGACCCTCATCAGTAATTCTAATTTTGCCCTTTGCCTTGTGATCTTTGCTTTCCCCTTTGCCTTGTGATCTTTTTGCCCTTTGAAGCATGTGATCTTTGTGACCTACTCCCTGTTCTTGAACCCCCTCCCCATTTGAAATCCTCAATAAAAACCTGGTGGTTTTGCAGCTCGGGTGGGCATCACAGGCCTACCGATATGTGATGTCACCCCCAGCGGCCCAGCTGTAAAATTCCTCTTTTTGTACTCTTACTCTTTATTTCTCAGACTGGCCAACACTTCACTTAGGGAAAATAAAAAGAACTTATGTTGAAATATTGGAGATGGGTTCCCCCGATATATCTGAATTTTTTTTTTTTATTTTATTTTGTTGGTTTCCAACTGTTTTTGTATCTGCTGGAATTTCTTTAAAATCAGTATTTTGAATTATTTATCTGTTATTTCAAAGTTTCATTTTGTTTAGTATCCATTCATATAAAGGTCTGATTCTTTGAGGGTGTTGCAACACTTTATTTTTTGTATACTTCCAGAATGTTTCTCTGATTAATTTTCTTCTGGATAAAATATCTCTTATTATTATGTTTGAATTTATTTGCATTTGAACATGATTTGTTTTTCTCCTTGAGGATGCGGCTACTATATATGTGTGTAGGGTAGTTTGGCTTCGGGGTTATTTCAGAAGGAAAGACTCTGGATGAGGTTCTTGGTTATAGATAGCCTTTGTGTGTTAGCTTCTTCAAATTCTGGTTTTAGTAGAATTGTGTTGGGTTTGTGAACATGCTCACTGCCTCCTGCATAGCCAAATTGTTGAAGGTCTCAGGAAGATCATCTCATTCCCCATCACTGTGCATTTGTGTCAACAGATTTTGTATTGGGTTGTGCAGTTCAATCTCCAGGCAAGTAGGTGGTGTTTATGGGTAAGAGCCAGCTGCAACAGACACAGAAGGTTATATGCTTGATTATTGTTTATTGAGAGAAGCTCTATGTAGCCTCAGGCAATGGGACAGTCTGTGGAATGCACAGTGGCCAAAGCTTCCTACTCAGGCCCTCTAGGGGGGCAAAGGTGGGTGGACCTTTTCTGTCATGCCCACTCTTGGATACACCAATGGTGGGCACAAGTACCAGCCCTGATGTGAGCACCAAGGACAGTGCCTGGTGTAATGCACCAAGGCCACCACACAGAGAGGGAGATGACTATTCTAGATCCATGGCCTTGGCAGGTGTGAATGTGATCTGCTTCCTTGTCACAACCATGTCCCAGTGCTTGAGACACTCAGAATGGGCATACACCACCGTCTATCTCCAGGCTGCAATGTTGCCAAAAGCCATGAAAGACACCTGACCCTTGACTCATTGTTGGGACATATTTTGTATAGGACCTTCTTCCTTAGCCCAAAACACACAGCTTTGTGGGTCTCCTGCTCCCCACTGTGAGAAAGAATGCTGCTGCTCCATGCAGAGAGGGGCAGGTGCCCCACCTTTTGTGCAAGCCAATGCTCAGTGGGAATACTATCAGTGGGGGTGCAGTCACTCCAATAGCCCTAGAATGGCCATATTCTGGCATGCCCATGCCACTTTCCTCTGGGTAGCAAACATGGCCGTGTCTGCCACAGTGAGCAAGGTGGAGAAGCCTTCCTCTCCACACCTTAGCCCAAGCACTGAGGTCACTGGGTCACTGAGATGGAACCACACTCCTTTCTTGTAGAGCTAAGCACAGTGCCCACGTCCCCACTGGAAGTGGTGCAGTCACTCTCAGCCCAGAAGGGGGAAGAATTTGAGCACAGGAAAATGGCTTCTCTGCTTTCTTTTGTCCCAGTGGGTGCTTCCTTGGTGCACTGCTTTCTCCCTTTGCTTAGGAGCAACAGTCCCTGTCGTCTAAAACCCTGCAGCTCCTCTGGGTCCAGTCACTCTCATGTGGCTGCCACAATCTGAGTGAGTGCTGGGTAATATCTGCAGGGGCTCTGGCAATGTGTAGACAAAAGAGTTGAGAGAACTGAGGCTTCCTGGTTCTGACATAGTTCCTCAATGGCTGCACCCCCCGTATGGCACCCTGCCACTGCAGCTTGGAACCTGGGATAGGATGAGAAACCTGGTGCAAGTGGGTAGTCTGGTGTAATGCCTTCCAGAAATTCCCAAACCACTGTCCACACCAGTGATTGAATTCATGAAATCAGAGGAGCCCTCTGTCAGTTTGGATACCTGCAGCCTGCCACAGGTTTGAGAAGAGTCAAAAACATCTCCACCTATACTTTCAATGAAATACCGAGTCTCTTATGGTTTCTAGCTGATCTCTGCCAGTCTCTTCCTTCTTTGTTTTTCTGTGCCTTAGCTTCTTCCCATGAGTTCTCCACTAGGATCCAGCACTCTTCCCTTCATATTCTATTTGAGTTATCATTATTCACCTGTAATTTTGTTCCTTCTGTGTCCGGAATTGGTGGGTTCTTGGTCTCACTGACTTCAAGAATGAAGCCGCAGACGCTCACGGTGACTGTTACAGCTCTTAAGGTGGCGCGTCTGGAGTCTGTCCCTTCTGATGTTCAGATGTGTTCGGAGTTTCTTCTTTCTGGTGGGTTCGTGGTCTCACTGGCTCAGGAGTGAAGCTGCAGACCTTCCCAGTGAGTGTTGCAGCTCTTAAGGCAGTGCCTCTGGAGTTGTTCATTCCTCCCGGTGGGCTCGTGGTCTCGCTGGACTCAGGAGTGAAGCTGCAGATCTTCGCAGTGAGTGTTACAGCTCATAAAAGCAGCGTGGACCCAAAGAGTGAGCAGTAGCAAGATTTATTGCAAAGAGCAAAAGAACAAAGCTTCTACAGTGTGGAAGGGGACGCGAGCGTGTTGCCAATGCTGGCTCGGGCAGCCTGCTTTTATTCTCTTATCTGGTCCCACCTACATCCTGCTGATTGGTAGAGCCCAGTGGCCTGTTTTGTCAGGGCACTGATTGGTGCGTTTACAATCCCTGAGCTAGATACAAAGGTTCTCCATGTCTCCATCAGATTACTTAGCTACAGAGTTTCCACACACAGATTCTCCAAGGCCCCACCAGAGCAGTTAGATACAGAGTGTCGATTGGTGCATTCACAAACCTTGAGCTAAACACAGGGTGCTGATTGGTGTGTTTACAAACCTTGAGCTAGATACAGAGTGCTGATTGGTGTATTTATAATCCTTGAGCTAGACATAAAGACTCTCCATGTCCTCACCAGAGCAGCTAGATACAGTGTCGATTGGTGCACTCACAAACCTTGAGCTAAACACAGGGTGCTGATTGGTGTATTTACAATCCCTGAGCTAGATATAAAGACTCTCCAGGTCCCCACTAGACTCAGGAGCCCAGCTGGTTTCACCTAGTGGATCCCACACTGGGGCTGCAGGTGGAGATGCCTGCCACTCCTGCGCCATGCACTCGCATTCCTCAGCCCTTGGGTGGTCGATGGGACTGGGTGCCGTGGAGCAGGGGGTGGCGCTCGTCAGGGAGGCTCAGGCCGCACAGGAGCCCATGGAGTGGGTGGGAGGCTCAGGCATGGTGGGCTGCAGGTCCCGAGCCCTGCCTCGCGGGAAGGCAGCTAAGGCCCGGCGAGAAATCGAGCGCAGCACTGGTGGGCCAGCACTGCTGGGGGACTCAGTACACCCTCCACAGCCACTGGCCCAGGTGCTAAGTCCTCCATTGCCCGGGGCCAGCAGGGCTGGCTGGCTGCTCTGAGTGCGGGGCCCACCAAGCCCACGCCCACCCGGAACTCCAGCTGGCCCGCAAGCACCGCATGCAGCCCCGGTTCCCACTCGTGCCTCTCCCTCCACACCTCCCTGCAAGCTGAGGGAGTGGGCTCTGGCCTTGGCCAGCCCAGAAAGGGGCTCTCACAGTGCAGTGGGGGGCTGAAGGGCTCCTCAAATGCCACAAAGTGGGAGCCCAGGCAGGGGAGGTGCCGAGAGCAAGCGAGAGCTCTGAGGACTGCCAGCACGCTGTCACCTCTCATTTCTTTCTGAGGATAACTGGCATCAAACATCCCCAGACAGCCATCTTGAAAATAAAAACGTTCTTCAATGTATTTTTTGCCTTTTTGCCAATTTTTGTACTGAAATGTTAGGCCCCTTTTTGCTTACTGATTTATACATATTCCTTGTGGTTCAAGATACTAACTTCCCATCAAAATGTTGGAAATTTTTTCCTCCATTTTGCAGTTTGATTTCCATTTTACTTGTGTTGTTTGGTATATCATCAAAGTTTATTATATTTTTAATATATTCAAACCTATAACTTTTTACTAACATATTTTGCTTTCATGTCATACTTTTAAAGGTTGCTAATCCTAGCATTGCAAGAGCTGTTACTTCTCTAATTATATTTTAATAGCTCAATCTTGTATATATTTGGCATTTACTTTTGGTGTTAGAAATGGATTAAGATTATATTTTATTTTTTCTCAGGACTATATAATTACTACCAAATTATTGTCTTTTCTCATGTCAATATTCTTAGTATTTTATTCTGTTCTGTTATGCAATCTATCTGCTCTTGTACTTCCGTTGATTATTTTGGATTTGATAGGGATAAAATTTGACCACTTTAATTTTATTGATTGTCTTTTGAGGGTCTATTGAAATAATGATTACAACACTGGACTTTTATTGTGCTTGAGCCAAAACAGATAAGCAACTATCCGTTTAATTTACTACTTTGCTTTAAAAATCGCTCTTAAATTTGCCACATCAGCCATTTCCCATGCATTTTTTTTTTAACATTCTGGTTTGATTTTGCTAATTATTTTCTTCTGTTTTCCATTGTTTGATACATTTTCATTTTATTTTATTAAAGATTAGAAAAGTATTGGTTTATAATTTCTACTACCTCTTTTTCAACTCTCCAGTCCTGTCTGCACCTCCATATTTTTCTTTATACTTACTAAGATTTCTGTTTCTGAATATTATGACTTTATTAGGACTATTTTTAGACTGTTCAATTTAAAAAAATAATATGCATTGAGGTGCAATTTTACTACAATAAAATGCACCCACTTTAAATATATGCACTGTGTAATCACCATATACACTTTAAATATATGCACTGTGTAATCACCAGATAAAATTTGTATCACCCCAAAATATTCACTTAGGTTTATACGCATCCTTTATGTAAACCCTGAACTGGTTTTTGTCTCTATAGTTAAGTTATGCCTTCACTAGAGTTTCATAAAAATGTAATCATACAGTATCTACACTTTTGTATCTCCTGTTTTAAATAGCTTTGCTTAAATATCATATTAGAATTTCTCAATAATATAATTTTTATTTATCTTTATTTTTTTCACAGTTTTTCTATGTTGGCCCCTCCTCTTCCTTTGTTTTTACCCTCTTTTGGGGGCAGTAGAGTGAAAGTGAAATAGTCCCTCTTTTTCTTTAAGCCTGATGATAGAATATAGAACCCAAAAGACAATAAAACTACAATAATCAAAAAGATAATTTGGTGCAACAATAATAGTTTCTTCAGAATGCTATAAAAATTCAAGTGCTAAATTGGAGATAAAAGTGTGTGTGAGACTTGACCCTTGCTTTAAGTAAGTTTTCATTCCTGAAATACAGATAAGACATGTTCTTAAACAACCAAAAAAGCAGGCATTATGTGGTTAAAACTGTAAAATTCTAATAAAATATTACAGGGTTTCAAAAAAACGAAGTGCTAGCAAGAGAAGGTTTAGAAAATATTTAATGAGAGGTATATCATGCTCATATTTAATAATTCACACATTTGATATTTCCTTTCAGAGATACATAACAATCTCTTCATCTTACTCACTTCCAATATATGCTGAGAGGTAGATAAAGGGATGAAACTTTGATTTGCATCACATCATTTATATCTAAGCTCTCAAAAAATAATTTTATTTCAGGTGTTTATTCACTAAGTTTCATTCACTATTTGTATTTACTCCAGAGGAGGAAAACACAAATAAACATAAATTTTCTTCCATTCTACCTGTCAAATCTATCATTTATGTATGTATTATTTAGCATTAATTTTACAAATGATATACAATTCAATTCAATTGGAGAGATCTGGTACAGAATGCTTATAGATGATCTAGATGTGTGATAATATAAAATAAATGAAATTCAGAATACCTGATACAATTAATTTTGAAGTTTTCAGTCAACAACGTTTTAGGTAAGAAATATTTCTTAATCATTAATATTTGGTAGTTATTCCAGTATTTGATATATAAATGTGTTCTTAATTAGCATTTTAGCCTTATACAAAAATTATTCATTTATTTTAAAATACTATAAATTGAATTATATTTCTTTTTAAAAATTTTGTATACATTGAAGATGACAAAACATTTATTCTAGAATATCTTGGCCAGAACTCATGAGTACCTTGGCTCTATAAGGATGATACATGTGTCTTAAAATGGAAGATCAAATATTAGTGTCAAGCAGCAATGTCAATAGTAACTCTTACTTACTAAATGCTGCAACACATGTTAAGAAGAAAGTGGTATAAATTAGGAAATGTCATTTATTGTAAGTAAAAATATATTTATTTATAAATAAATTTCAATTACAAGCCTTCAAAAATGGGTTGTCACCCATTAGCACTCCAATTGTAAATTATAGGTTAAGTTATAACTTTTTGTTCTGTTCATCATAAAATGAAACAAATATGGCTTATATTCACATTTCTCCTTATGTTTCCAGAAAGCATAGTATAATTGTATTAGTCGGGGTTCTCTAGAGGGGCACACCTAATAGGATATATGTGTATATAAAGGGGAGTTTATTAAGGAGTATTGACTCACACAATCACAAGGTGAAGTTCCACAATAGGCCGTCCGCAAGCTGAGGAGCAAGGAAGCCAGTCCGAGTCCCATAAACCTCAAAACTAGGGAAGCCAACAGTACAGCCTTCAGTCTGTGGTCGAAGGTCCAAGAGTCCCAAAGCTGAAGAACTTGGAGTCTGATGTTCAAGGGCAGGAAGCATCCAGCACAGGAGAAAGATAGAGCCCAGAAGACTCACCCAGTCTAGCCTTTTCACGTTCTTCTGTCTACTTTTTATTCTGGTTGCACTGGCAGTTGATTAGATGGTGCCCACCCAGTTTGAGGGTGAGTCTGCCTTTCCCAGTCCACTGACTCAAATGTAAATCTCCTTTGCCAACACCCTCACAGACACACCCAGGAACAATACTTTGCATCCTTCAATCCGATCAAGTTGACACTCAATACTAACCATCACGATGACAAAAAGAAAAGGTGTTTTACACAGTTTAATATATTCCAGGAAGTCTTCTGTAAGATTCTCTAATTTTGATAGATTTACCCTCAATGATTTTATTTCTCTAGTTTTGTAATGCTATTTGAATTTTTGCTTCCTTTGAGATTTTTTTCTAAAAGACAAATTTTAAAAAAACTTGAAAGATCCTTGTCTAAATAAAAGTCAGTGGAAGTCAGCTAGAAACATGAGGAGTGGCAATATCACATTTTTCATTACCAAAACCATGCAAAAAATACAAATAACATGTTTCTTAGGAGGATTAATAATGTTAGAAAATAGTAAATTCAATACTATTTTTCAGACTATAAAATATTATAAAGTGTTTTATATATGTTGATATTATAATAAAACCAAAATATATTTCTGTAAAGTATTTTAAGTCTTTATTCTCATCATTTTATTCTCTATATTTCTTAGAATAATTTTTCAAGATTTGTCATTCCTGCCTTTTCCCTCCTCCACAATTCAACTGTACTCTTACAATAAGAAATGAAACAGGATACATTGCCACTGATGCCACAGAAATAAAAAGGATTATGAGAGACTACTATAAGGAATTACATACCAACGAATTGGATTGTCTAGAGGAAACAGATAAATTCCAAGAAGCATATAACCTACCAAGACTGAATCATGAATAAATAGAAAACCTGAGCAGACCTATGGCTTTTAAGAAAATTGAGTTACTAATCAAAAACCTCTCAACAAGGAAAATACAAGGGCCAGAGAGCTTCATAGGTGAATTCTAGCAAACATTTAAACAATAATTAACACCAGTCCTTCTCAAACTCTAACAAAAAATGGAAGAGGGAGGAATGCTTCCAAACTCATTTTACAAGTTCAGGATTCCCTTGATATAAATGTCAGACAAAAACACCACAAGAAAAAAAAATACAAGTCAATGTCACTGATGAATATATATGCAAAATCATCAAAAAAAATACTAGCAAACCAAGTTCAATATCACATTAAAAGAATTGTACACACTTACCAAGTAAGATTTGTCCTTAAGTTGAAAGAATGTTTCAGTATACACAATCAATATGATAAATCACATTTTCACAATGAAGAATATAGTCATATGATTATATCCACAGATGCAGGAATAATATTTGACAAAAGTCAACACTTTTTATAATACAATCTTTCAACAAATTAGGTATAGAAGAAATGTATCACAACATAATAAAGGGCATAAATGAGAAGCCCACAGCTAATATCATAGGTAATGAAAAGAAGCTGAAAATGTTTCTTCTCAGATGAGGACAAAGTAGAGGATGACCACTCTTCCCACTTTTATTTAACATAATACTGGAAATCCTAGCCAGAACAATAAGATACAAAAAAAAATCCATATTGCAAAAGAAGAACTAAAATTATCTCTGTATGCAAATGATATCTTATATGTAGAAAATCCTTAAAATCTCCACCAAAAAAAAACTGTTAAAACAAAGAAATTTAGTAAAGTTTCAGGATTCAAAATTAACATACAAAAATCAGTTGTGTTTATATATACTAGCAGTAAACTATTCAGAAAGAAAATTTAGAAAACAATCTCGTTTACAATGGCATCAAAAAGAATACAGTATTTATTAATAGTTTCAATCAAAGAGATAAAAATATTGTACAATGAAAACTACAAGCCATTGATTACAGAAATTAAAAATGATATAAATAAATGGAAAGACATTTTGTGTTCATGGATTGAAACACATAATACTGTTAAAATGCCCATACTGCCCAAAACAATCTACAGATACAATGCTATCCTTATGAAAATCTCAATGACATTTTATAAAAATAGAAAAAAATCAAAAGTTTATATGAAACCACAAGAGACCACAAAGAGCCAAAACAATCTTGAGAAGAACAAAGCTGGAGGTATCATACATTCTGATTTCAAATTATACTGCAGAGCTACAGTAATCAAAACAGTATAGTACAGGTGTAAAAACAGACATATAGCCCAGTGGAACAAAATGTAGAGCTCAGAAATAAATTCATGAATATATGACTAACTGATCTTTAGCATAGTTTCCAAGAATACATAATGGGTAGAAGAGAATCTTGTCTACAAATAGTATCAGGAAAACTGGACATCCATATGAAAACAATGAAATTGAATTCTTACACCATATACAAACATTTACACAAAATTGATTGAAGACTTAAATGTAAGACTTGACATAAATTTCTTAGAACACATATGAAAATAGCTTCTTGACATTGTCTTTGTGATGTTTTCTTGAATATGACACAAAAACCATAGGCAATGGAAGCAAAAGTAGTTGGGATTGCATCAAACTAAAAGCTTCTAGACAGGAAAAGAAATAATAAAAAGAATGAAAAGGCAACCTACAGAATAGGAGAAAATGTTTGCAAACAGTATATATGACAAAGAGCTAATATGTGAAATATACAAATCATTCACGTGTGTATGTACTTTTTTCAAAACAAATTAATAGCAATTCAATAGAAAAAATAAAAAATAAATATTAAAAAGTAGACAAAAGCCTTGTATAGACATTTTTTTCCAAAAAAATATACAAATGGCTAACAGAGATATAATAAAGAGGCTCCACAACACTACTCATTAGGAAAATGCACTTAAAACCCTAATGGAATATGATCTCAGACCTGTTAGAGTGGCTGTTACAAAATGATAAGAGATTGTGAAGATAAGATAAAAATCCCCTTATGCTTCTAACAGAAAGAGGGAAAAGTAATCATTTTGAAATATGCCTGAGTATTATATTCTCCTCAACAAAGATGTATTAGTCAGAAATATCCAGAGAAATAGAACCAATATGCAGAGAGAGAGAGAGAGAGAGAAGAGAAAATTTATCATAGGAATTGGCTCACATAATTATAGAGGCCAAAATGTTTCATAACATGCTGTCTGCCAGCTGGAGAACCAGGAAAGCCATTGGTGTAATTCAATCCCAATGGCCTGAGGAGCAAGAGTGACAATGGTGTCATCCAATCTGAGGCCAAAGGCCTGAGAACTGGGGGTAGGGTTGTACTAGCATAAGTCTTAGAGTCTGCAGGCTGAGGAATCAGCACCTCTGATGTCTAAGGGAAGAAGGTGGATGTCACAGGTCAAGAAAAGAGAAGATGAAATTTGCTCTGAGTTTTTGTTATATCTGGGCCTTCAACAGATGGCATAATGCCTGCCCACACTGGTGAAGGTGGACCATTTTTACTTAGTCTCCTGATTCAATGCTAATCATTTTGAGAAACACAGAGAAAAAATGTTTTATCAGCTTTTGGGCATCCCTTTGTCCAGTCAAGTTGACACCTACACTTAACCATCACCAGACCATCCCTTTTGAACTTGCTACTCATATGCATCTCCTTAAACGATAATCTACAAATAAAGACAAGGAGAAGCTAATGATTCTGCCTAATATGATATAACTAACCTGTATACAATTGAAAATACACTACTACCGTCTTCAGAAAAAGTAGTCTTTAAGTGATGTTCAGTCTTCACCTGATGCCCTGTAACTTAATATGATGTAAAACTAAAACTTCTTAAAAACAGATTTAAAATAATGCATCTTATGTTACATGATAAGGAAATAAGAGAAGAAAGAAAACAAAGATAGATAATTAATACATGTATATAAATACACATGTATTTATAACATAAGAAGGAAATACTCATGACAGTTACAGTTTTCTGTTCTGTAACTAGTCATGTCATCATAGCTAGTATTTATCATTACCTTCTCCCACTCATTCTGTGTACATTTGCCTTCAGGAAGATCCTTAGCTGCTTATAGTTCTTTCTTTAACTGGTGTGGTAATCACAACTTTTATTCCTGAAAGGTCTGGACCTTTATTTGTCTTCCCTGAATTGGGTTGTTAGAGCTCGCCATTGACATTAATCACAAGGCATGGTAATATTAAGACAAGACCTAAATGAGCTCTTGTATTCCGGACATACTCTTATTTACTTCCATTGTAGAGTGGTAGTCTAATTTTCCATTGGTAGTCCGTATCAATCATCTCTGCCAATTCTGTAACTCTTTTCTTGAACTATTTACTCTAAGACATAAGGAGCCCAAATTAGCTAGGTGGGAGTCTTAACTTTTTATAGTTCAATAAAATTATTGTTATACTCTAGGCCAGCAGAGTATAAAGCCCTGGGATCAGGAAGAAAAATTTTGCTAGTGTGTCACAAGGGATAATAGTGAGTGGTGCCACTCCCATTTTTATCCCTTAATTCCTGGACCTATTAATCCTAGCTATAGGAGGAACAGTACTATATGTTGGATGCTGATTCAAAGCACATACGGCAATCTGGAAAACCCTGCCCCACTCCTATAAGGTATTTTCACCTACCTGGTGCTGTAACAGAGTCTTCAAAAGGCAATTCCGCATTCTATCAAGGCAGCTGCTTTAGGATAGTGTGGAACATGGTAAGACCAGTGAATTCCATAAGTATCTGCCCATTGCCACACTTTTTTAGCCGTGAAGTGATTTCCTTGTTTAAAAGCAACGCAGTGTATAATACTATGACGGTGGATAAGGCATACTGTAAGTCCATGGATGATAGTTTTAACAGAAGCATTTCATGCAGGAAAGGTAAGAGTCAGTGTCTATTCTAATAAGGATAAAACAATGTCTCTCTTATGATAGAAGTGATCTAATGTAACCAACTTGCCAACAAGTAGCTGGATGATCACCCTGGAAAGTGGTGCCATACTGGGGACAGAGTGTTGCTCTCTGCTACTCACATATTGGGCACTCAGTGGTGGCTATAGCCCAGTCGGCCTTGCGAGGTGAAAGTCCACGTTGCTGAGCACATTCATAACTTCTACTCCTATTACCATGGCCACGTTATTCATGAGTCCATTATGCAATGACAGAAGTGGCTGGAGATATAGGATGACTGGATTCCGCAGAAAAGATAATTCTATCCACTTAACTATTAAAATCCTCCTCTGATGTGGCCACTCTTTTTTGAGCATTCACATAGGACACAAATATCTTCACTTTTTTTTCCCATTCAGAGTGGTCTATCCACATCCCTCATCCCAAAATTTCTTTGTTACCAATTGGCAAATCATGCCCTTTCAAATCTCTGACCATCCAACCAAATCATTGATGACAGCCCAGAAGTTGGTATATAATTGCTCATCTAGTCTTTTCTCTTTCCAAGCAAAGCACATAACCAGGTTCAGTGCCCAAAATTATTTATATTGGAAGGACTTACCTTCATCACTATCTATCAGGGATGTCCTAGAGAGAGGCTGCGGTGCTTCAGCTGCCCACTCTCAGGTAGTGCCTTGAGTTTGGTGCAGAACCATTTATAAATCAAGCTCAATTTTTCTCTTACTCTGTCAATTGATCATAGAAAATTCCCATGAGGCCATAGGTGCAGGCTGGGAGAGAGATGACAGTGTAGTAGGAGTGGAAGCCATGGGCATTTGAACAATTTTTTTGTTTTAATTGGGGAAATGTAGCCTCTGAGGAAATCCGAAAGTATACATTCCCTTTATTTTGTCAATTTTGTTTTAGGCCACTTCATGTAACATACTTGTGCCTGCTTGGGCCTAAGTATGCATATGCCACTTCTACTTGATGATGTAGTGCTTTTGTACATGCCAGATTTTATGGCTGGATTGATTATGTGATGCCAAGTTCAAGATAAGTAGCTCAGTTCACATGGTAACTTGGTGACCTATGTTCAAGCATTTAGTTCTATAAAGGCCCCATAGTAGGCCAAGGGCTGTATCTCAGAGGGAGAATAGATATCCTCATATAATGACAGGGCTAGTCTCTAAGATCCTGAAGACCTGTTCTGTTGTTCACCTATAGGGGCTTGCTAGAGCCTCCAAAGAACATCCCTATCTGCCACTGAAACTTCAAGCACCTTGAGATCTGCTGGATCATATGGCCCATGTGGCAGAGCAGCTTGCACAGCAGCCTGCCTCTTGCAGAGGTTTTTCTTATTTTGAGGACCATTTAAAACTAGCATATTTTTAGGTCACTCTTTGTAACATACCCAAATGTGAAATATGCTGCCTCCAAAATCTAACTACATTCACTAGATATTGTGCCCCTTTTTTTGGATGTAGGAGGAGCCAGATGCAACAATTTATCCTTCATCTTGGATGAATTATTACATGTCCCACATCACTTGTTCCCTAGAAATTTCACTGAGGTAGAAGATCCTTTAATTTAGTTATATTTATTTCCCACCCTCTCATGGGCAAATGTCTTACCAGTAAGTCTAGAGTATATATATTTATATATTTATATAGGTATATATTAATATATGCATATATTATTTATATACATATTATTTATATATTATACATTATATTATATATGTTTATAATATATACATACTCAGGATTGTATATGTGTATATATATACATTATATATTACATGTATTCTCATAATATATATGTGGGAACAAATGCTGTCAATCTGAATAAATAAACTTAGATATTAATGATGCACTTGGTTTATGATGTGGCTGCATTAGACTCATAGCCATATAAACCAAAAAAATTGTAAAAACTGATGGTATATTTGATTTGAAGACCTCCAGATTCAAGATGCATAATTATTATTGTTTCGTAAGGTACCTTTAGAAAGTTGATAAGACTGATGGAAGATTAACTTCCTAGCTATCACACAGATAAAAATTCAATGTTGCCCACATTTATTTTGGTATAACCTTTGGAAATGGTCTGTAGTCCTCTTTGCACTCATATTCATGTACTTAAATTTTAAATTCCATTGTATTTTCACTTTATTATAAAATATAAATATAATATTTGTGAACATAAAATTTGCAATTAAGGTACAGATTACTGTAAATTCCACTAAGACTTTTGTTCATGGAAGCAGCACTTGCTCTTATAAGTATTAGGATGTAATAAATTTAAGATGTTCTGAGCCCAAAAAAACTGAAAGCATTACAATTAAAGAGAACATTTGCCATTTACTTTAAGTTAATGTTTTTCACTTTACACTTTATTGCACACTATCTTTCCTTCTTATCTATTAAACATGTTGTGAGCCATTAAGAAAGTGCTAATTTTTTGTCAGTGGGGAATAACGTAAGATGAATTTTCACATTTATTGGACTGCTTCTTAGCCTATGTGGTCATTTATTCTTAAGAGTGTTTTGAATAGTACCAACTAGCAATAATGACTGTAAACTAATACAGTTTCTAATGGCAGATTGCATTAGGAGAGTGTCCAAATTATGTAGCTCCAGGAGTGCTATATTTCTTGCTGTATTTTATTATCCATTTTGTCTTGAAAAAAGGTTACATAGCTTAAGCTCAATATTAAATCTCTGCTTTTTGCCTCTTTTAAAAACTATCCCAGAATATAGCAAAAAGGTCTTTAGGGAAGATACAGCATTAGAATTTTAACTTAGCCATGTTGTAAATTATGGCACATGATTTGTTACACAAATTACACATAATTTAGCTAATAACTAAACAACCCTCATTTTCTTATTGCCAATATGTAATATTTATATATTTATATAAACCAATGTAAAGTCAGAAAATCAATAAATATTATATTATGGAAAATAATTAAAATTAGAATAGATCTTGGTCATAAATAAATTTGTTCAAGCTTATGAACTTATTTACATCTAAAAAACCTCAACCCAAAATGTATTTTTCCAATATCTCATGCTTTGGATATTTGAAGAAGCCATTGAATAGCTTTTCAAGTATATAGATAATAAGTCAAAATTATTTCAGATTATGTTAGGTAGTTCTAGTTAGTGATATGTATGTATTATATAATTAATGTAAAAGTTATTTTTATATAATGTATACAATTATAAGTTTTACTTGAGCTCTTAATGTGTGCTAAACCCTCTTACACACATTTGCATACATTATATCATTTAACCTGCAGAAAAACCATAAAGATGGACATCATTATTGTTTACATTTTATAAATGAAGAAACTGAACAAGAAATTTGATAACTGTTCAAGAGTATTCTGTGACTGACTTAGGATGTAAATCCACACTTCTCTATGGGTGTCACTTTATTCTGTCATTCAGTCTACATTTGAATCCTGACTACGTGTCTAATGCTAAGACTGCAGCTGAGAATAAGTCAAAGAAAGTACCTGCATTTAAACAATTCTAGTGGAGAAAAAATAAACATGCAAATATATTAGTAAAATGATTTTGGTAACTATGAAGAAAATAGAATAAGGTGATATGGCAGAGATGAACTGGCTGTGGAGCATGGCCACTGCCCTAGTAAAGGTCATTTTAGAGAAAATGTTTCTAAAGAGTTGACATTTGACTTGAGCCTTGAATGACGAGAAGGGATCAACCATGTAAATTTTGAAGCGAAAACCTAAGTAATTGGATTAGAAAAGTGTAAAGCCTTGTAATAGGTACCTAAAGGAACCCATTTTGTCTGGAGCTTAGGGAAGCAGGAAAAAAAGAAAGTAGATGATATAGAAGATGTAGGTAGGGGCAAAGTCATGTAGTAATATGTAGGCCATGGTATGGATATTGATTTTTATTCTGAATACAATGAGAATCCATTGTAAACTCTTGAGTAGTAGTATCTGATTTAAGTTTTATAAAGTTTATAAAACCGTGATATGGAGAGCTCCTCTAGGGTTGCAAGAGTGGGTGGAGGGAAATACATTGATTCACTGTGATAGAAAATATTTGGATAGACAGATTTGGGAGTAAAATTATAGTTCTGTTATAGCATTGTTGACTTTGATATGCTCATTAGACAAGTGAGTGGAGAATTTAGGAAAGTAGTTGGATATAAAATCCAGACTACAGAAAAAGTTCAGCAAATTGTATTCGGAGTTGTGGGACTGGATGAGATTACCCAGAAAAAAATTCATAAATAGAAGAATCGTAAAGGGAGCAGAGACTTGAACCATCTCAAGGAATTTGTTAACCTACCAAAGAATAAACTTCTTCTAAATTGGACAAAGTCATCCCTTCTAGACATGTGCCTATTCTGGTAATCAAAAATCAAATAGAAACAAAAATATGTTATCTCTTTAGAAAGGTGCAGTCTTGAGAACATAGGGTTTGTCTAGAAGAATTCCATTCCTACCAGCAGAAGTAGCTGAAGGAAAATCTGGATTCAAGGTGTCAGTAATGGTAGTAGTCATAGTAGCAGTAATAAATGTGTGTGTGTGTGTGTGTGTGTGTGTTTTCAAAATACAAAAAACGATGTGAAGATATGGATACATGCTGATTGAATTGACTCAGTAGAGACAGAAGTTGAAAACACAGAAGTGAAACAGAGATATAATAAAAAAATAATGGTCATGGAGAAGATATGAATGTGTGAAATTAAGGGAAAAGTGGAAGAGCTATTTTATATGGTCGCGCAAACACTTGGTCTGTTTTATTCATATACAACAAGCTTATTTTGAAAGAAGGCAGATATAAAATAAGACTGTGGTATCTAGAAGCATTGTTTCATACCAGAAAAAGTTACCCATTATTCTTACTGTCCCTAAACACATATTAAATATTTCTTCAGTTCTCTCATGTGAGAATAAAGTGTGTGTGTATATATATATATATACACATATAAAATATTACATATATAGGTATACATACATATTACAGGTGTTCTATTCAGACACTTAAAGCTTTAATCCCTTCCTTCCTTAGTATATTTCAATTTTTTTTTAATTTCAGTTTTTATTTTAGATACAAGGGATACATGTGTAGGATTGTTATATGATATATTGGACCCAGGTAGTAAGCATAGCACCCAATAAGTAGTTTTCCAAAGCTCATCCCCCAGCCACCCTCTCTTCCCAGTAGTTTGCAGTGTCTATTGTTGCCATGTTAATGTCCACGTGTGGTCTAAGTTTAGCTCCAACTTATATGTGAGAACATGTGGTATTTGCTTTTCTGTTCCTATGTTAATTTGCTTAGGATTATGGTCTACAGCTCTAGCCATTCTTCTTTATGACTGTGCATATTCTGTGGTGTGTATATACCATGTTTTCTTTATCCAATTCACCATTGATGGGCAACTAGGTTGACTCTACATCTTTGCTATTGTGAATATCACAGTGAAGAACCTACAAGTGCATGTGTCTTTTTGGTATAATAATCTATATACCTTTGAGTATATACCCAGCAATGAGATTGATGGGTTGAGTGGTAGTTTTGTTTTAAGTTCTCTGAGACATCTCCAAACTGCTTTCCACAGTGACTGAACTAATCTATGTTCCCATCAACAGTGTGTAAATGTTCCCTTTTCTCTGCAGCCTTACCAACATCTTTTTTTTTTAACCTTTTGATAATGGTCATCATGACTGATGTGAGATGGTATATCATTGTAGTTTCAGATTTGCATTTCTCTGATGATTAGTGATGATGAGCATTTTTTCAAATATTTGCTGGCCACTTATATGACTTCCTTTGAGAAGTATCCAGGTCTTTTGCCTACTTTTTAATGGGGTTGCTTGGTTTTTGCTTGTTGATTTGTTTAAGTTCCTTATAGATTCTGGATATTAGACCTTTGTCAGATGCATAGTTTGCAAACATTTCCTACCATTCTGTAGGTTGTCTGTTTTCTCTGTTGTTAGTTTTTTTGTTTTGTTTTGTTTTTTGCTGTGCAAAAGCTCTTTAATTAGTCATTTTTTATTAGTCATTTTAATTAGTCATTTGTCAATTTTTGTTTTTGTTTTAATTGGTTTTGTGGACATGACCATAAATTATTTACCAAAAAGGGTGTATCCTAAATTTTCTTCTAGGACTTTTATAGTTAAAGGTCTTACATTTATATCTTTAATCTATCTTGAGTTAATTTTTGTATATGATGAAAAAAAGGGTCTAATTTCATTCTTCTGCATATGATTATCCATCACCATTTAATTAATGGAGAGTTATCATCCCCATTGCTTGTTTTTGTCAGCTTTGTTAAAAATTAGATGGTTGTAGGTGTGCAGCTTTATTTCTGAGTTACATAATTTGTTCCATTGATCTATGTGTCTGCTTTTGTACCAGTACCATGCTGTTTTGGTAACTGTAACATTGTAATGTAGTTCGAAGTCAGGTAGAGTGAAGCCTCTAGCTTTGTGTTATTTGCTTAGGATTGCTTTGGCTATACAGGCTATTTTTGGTTCCACATGAGTTTTATATATTTTTTTCTATCTGTGAAGAAATGATGTTGATAGTTCAATAAGAATAGCGTTGAATCTGTAAATTGCTTTGGACAGTATGGCCATTTTAATAATATTGATTCTTCCAATCCATGAGCATGAAATGACTTTCCATTTATTTGTGTTGCCTCTAATTTCTTTCAGCGGTGTGTTGTAGTTCTCTTTGTAAAGATCTTTCACCTCTTTAGTGAGCTGTATTCTATTTCTAAGTATTTCATTTTATTTGTGACTATTGTAAATGATATTATGTTCTTGACCTGACTCTTGACCTGGATGTTGTTGGTGTGTGGAAATGCTGCTAATTTTTTGTATATTGATTTTATATCCTGAAACGTTGCTGAAGTCATTTATCAGTTCTAGTTGCCTTTTGGTGGAGTCTTTAGAGTTTTCCAAGTATAGAATATCATCAGTGAAAAGAGATAGTTTGACTTCTTTTTTTTTCCTATTTGGTTGTGTTTTTTTTTTTTTTTCTTTTCTGATTGCCCTGGCTAAGACTTCCAGTACTATTTTGAATAGGAGTGGTGAGAGTGGGCATCCTTACCTTATTTCAGTTCCCAAGAGGAATGATTCCAGCTATTATCTATTCAGTATAATGTTGACTGTAAGTTTGACATAAATGGCTCATTATTGTCAGATATGTTCTTGCAATGCCTAGTCTGTTGAGGGTTTTTATCATGAAAAGTTTTTGGATTTTATATAAAGCTTTTTTGCATCTATTGAGATGGCCATATGTTTTATGCTTTTGTCTTTATGTGGTAAATTGCATTTTGATTTGTGAATATTGAAAAAATCATGCATCCTAGGAATAAAGCCTGCTTGGTCATGGTGAGTTAACTTTCTTATGTTCTGCTGATTTGATTTGTTAGTATTTTGTTGAGGATTTTTCCATCTATGTTCATCAGGGATATTGGCTTGAAGTTTCCTTTATTAGTCTTATCTCAGCCAGATTTTCGTATTAGGCTGATGCTGGATTTATATAATGAGTTAAGGAGGAGTCCCTCCTCCTTTATTTTTTTAAATGATTGGTACTAGTTCTTCTCTCTATGCCTGGTAGAATTTGACTGTGAATCCATGTGGTCCAGGGCTTTTTTGGGTTTATAGATTGTTTTCATCACAAGTTCAATTTCAGAACTCTATACTGAACCCTATTCAGAGTTTCAATCTCATCCTGATTCGATCTTTGGAGATTGTATGTTTCCAGGACCTTTTCCATTTCCTCTAGATTTTCTAATTTGTATGCAAGGAGTTGTTTGTAGTGTTATCTGAAGATCATTTTTATATTTCTGGTATGAGTTGTAATGTCATCTTTGTCATTTCTGAATGTACTTATTTGAATCTTCTCTCCTTTTCTTCTTTGTTTATCTAACAGTCTATCAATCTTACATTGTTTTTTGGAGAACCAACTCTTGGTTTAATTATATTTTGAATGGATTTTTGAATTTCAATTTCATTAGCTTATTTTCTAATTTTGGTTATTTCTTTCCTTCTGGAGCTTTGGGGTAGTTTTTTTTTTTTAATAGTTTCTTTAGGTGCAGAGTTATATTGTTAATTTGAGATCTTTTTAACTTCTTGATGAAGGTATTGTAAACTTTGCCTTGATGAAGGGCTATAAATTTTTCTCTTAACACTGCTTCAGCTACACTCTAGAAATTTTGGTACGTTGTGTCCCTGTTTTCATTAATTTAAAGTAATTTTTAAATTTCTGCCTTAATTTTGATGTTCACCTGGAAGTTATTCAGGAGCACGTTGTTTAATTTCCACTTATTTGTGCCATTTTAAGGTATATTTTTGATATTTATTTATATTGTCTTCGCACTGTGGTCCAAGAATGTGCTTGGTATAATTTTGATTTTTAAAACATTTATTGAGTCTTGCTTTATGACGAAGCACTTAGGTAATCCTAGAATACTTCTGTGTGCAGATGAGAAGAATGTACATTCTGTGGTTGTTGGGTGGAGTGTTCTGTAGATGTCTATTAGGTCCTATTGGTCAAGTATTAAGTCCAGAGCTTCTTTGTTAGTTTTCTGCCTCAATGATCTGTTTAATACTGTAAGTAGGGTGTTCAAGTCTCCCATTATTGTGTGGTTATCTAGGTCTTTTGTTAGGCCTAAAAGAACTTATTTTATGAATCTTGGTGCTCCAAAGTTGGGTACATATATATTTATGAAAGTTAAGGTTTTTTGTTGGAGTCTACCCTTTATCATTATGTAATGCCCCTCCTTATTCTGAATTTTTATTGATTGATATGATTTGGGTTTGTGTACCTGCCCATATCTCATGTTGAATTGTAATCCCCAATGGTGGAGGTGGGGCCTGGTGGGAGGTGGTTGAATTATGGTGGCAGTTTCTCATGAATGGTTTGGCAACATCACACTAGTACTGTTCTCCTGATAGAGTTCTTACAAGATCTGGTTGTTTATAAGTGTGTAGCGCCTCCCTCTCTCTCTTTCTCTTGCTGCTCGGGTCATGTGAGATGCCAGCTCCGTCTTTGCCTTCTGCCATGATTGAAGTTTCCCGAGGCCTCCCCAGAAGCTGAGCTGATGCTGGAATTATTCTTCCTGTACAGACCGTGGAACCATGAGCCAATTAAACCCTCTTTTCTTTATAAATTACCCAGTCTCAGATATTTCTTCATAGCAATGCAAGAATGGACTAATACATTGGTTTAAAGTCTGCTTTATCTGATGTAAGAATAACAACTCCTCCTCTTTTTCATCTTTCATTTCCATGGTAGATCTTTTTCATTCTTTTTACTTTGAGTCTGTGGGTGTCACTACATGTGGGACGGGTTTCTTTAAAATCACAAACAGTTGGATTTTGCTTCTTCATCCAGTCTGCCACTCTGTATTTTAAGTGGACATTTATCTCATTTACATTCAGGATTACTACTGATATGTGTGATTTTGATTCTGTCATTATGTTGTTTGCTGATTGTTGTGTATACTTGATTGTGTAGTTGCTTTATAGCACCTGTGTGCTATGGGCTTGAGTGTGATTTTGTGGTAGCAGGTGTCATTCTTTTGAATCCATGTTCAGCGCTCTCTTAAGGACAACTTGTAGGCCTTGTCTAGTTGAAATGTATTTTCTCTCAGTATTTGCTTGTCTGAGATGGGTTTTATTTCTCCATCATGTATGAAGCACATTTTGATAGAATATGAAATTTTTGGTTGGAATGTTTAAAAAAATGCTGAAAATAGGTCTCCCATCTCTTCTGCTGAGAGATTTGCTGCGTGCCTGATTGGGTTCCCTCTGTACTTCACTTGGTCATCTCTATCTCTAGCTACCTTTAAGATTTTTTTTCTTTTGCATTGACATTGGTGAATATGATGACTATGTGCCTTGGGGACAGTTATGTCATGTAGTTTCTATCTGAGGTTCTCTGTATTTCTTGGATTTACATGTCAACCTCTCTACGCATATTAGGAAAATTATCATGGACCGTATCCTTAAATATATTTTCCAAGTTGCTTATCCTCTGTCCTTGCCTCTCAAAAATGTTGATGTGTCATATATTTGGTTTGTTTACATAATGACATATTTCTTGGATATTTTGTTTATTTTTCTCAATTCATTTTTAAATTTTTTGTCTGAATGAGTTAATTTGAAGAATTGGTCTTTGAGCTCTGAGATTCTTTCCTCTACTTGGTCTAGTCTGCTGTTAGTACTTCCAATTGTGTTATGACATTTTTATAGGGAGTTTATCAGCTCTAGAAGTTCAATTAGGTTCTTTCTTCCATGGCTATTTCATCTTTTAGGTTTTGGATGATTTTACTGGATTCTTTGGATTTCTTGGATGGAATTTCAAGTTTCTTCTGAATCTTGATGTGTTTCCTTGACATCTAGGTTCTGAATTGTATATCTGTCATTTCAGACATTTCACACTGGTTAAAAAACATTTCTGGGAACTAGTGAACTTGTTTGGAGGTAAAGGAACATTGGCTTTTTGAATTGCCAGATTTCTTGCACTAATTATTTCTCATCTGAGAGGGTTGTTGTTCTTTTAACTGTGGTGTGATTTAAGTATAGTCAGTTGGCTTCATTCCTAAATGCTTTCAGAGGGCTATAAATCTTTACCTGTGGGTGAATTATGGTGCTCGGTTTCACAGTTGTGTACGTTAGTAGGATACATTTTTGTTGTCGTCGTTTGGGCTGTGACCCAGTAGATGGCGCTTAAGAGTAATGGCCAGTACCTAGGTTAATACTCAACTGTGTAGGTTTTTTGTACATGCTTGAATTCACAGGCAAGCTCTGCGGTGAGTTTGAGGGAAGAAGTGGCCCCCTCACGCGGTTCACTCCTGGGCCTTAAAAGAGCATCTTCGATTGCTAGCACTGCATCTGCATTACTTTGTTAGGTGTTCTAGGCCACGGGGCCCCCTCCGACAGAGGCTGTGGCAGAGAGATATGCCACACACTCCGTGGACCAGCTCTGCGGAAAGAGGCATGCCCTGCTCCCACTCCAGGTCAGGAACCTGCATATCTCATCCCTCTCAGTGCTCTGAGGGCGAAGGCTCCTCTCCCATTTGAGGGTCGGCCACAGGTCTTGACTCCACACTCGTGTGCTGAAGTCCAGAATGTCTGTGGCTCAGGTTGAGGTTTTGGCTACCCTGGGAGATCCGATATGCTCCTGGGTCACCTGGAAATTACTCAGGTTCAGCAATGCACTTAGGTTGCGCTGTGGTGGCTGCACTGTGCATCCAATCCTGCAGGATGGCTTGGCATAGACTCAGAAGGACTGGCAGGCAGGAGGGCTTGCAGAGCAGATATGCTCCAGTCCCATGGGGAAGTTGGCTCTGCACTTTCCTGACTCAGAGGTCAGCTGGGGCCCGTGCCTCCCAGAGGGTGATGGGGAGCCCTGGAGATGGGCATATATGGCTTCGCTCCACTGGATCTTCCCAGGATTGAAGCTCCTGGGCTCTGTGCTGTTTTCTAAAAGGCCTGTCTTTTCTCACTGCCTGGGGAGATCCCCCTGCCAGGTTGCAGGTTCATGGGAAATGCAGGGTCTCCTATAGCTGGGATACCAGAGAACCACAATAAGAATGAGTTGTCCCTAAGTTCCCTCCCTCATCTCTTTCCCAAAAGCCATTCAAGACTAGAAACTAGCTCTGGCATTCAGGTTCCCTGTGCAAGTTTCCCAGTTTTTTCTCTCTTCAGCCTCATCATCAGCATTGGCTCTCCATCCACTCTCAGCAAATTATCCTGGTTTGTTGGATAATTTGAGCTCTCTCAATGGAAGTGGTGCTTCCTGGCAGCATCTAGTCAGCCAACTTGTCCTCTTTCTCATTCTCTATTGTTTTAAAAGGGAAAGCACTGTGTATGTGTATATAATGGTAGAATGTATGATATGAATGTCAAAGTCATTATATCCTAATTGCATGTTTTTCCATGAAGTTTATATCTAGGTCATTAGCTGAGGTAGGTGATTCTGACTAAGACTTTGAGAAGAAAAAATAAGGGTTAAAATACCTGTCTTTGAGAAAAGGAAATGAAATTTTTAGAGAAGTGTAGTAAAAATTTTGTCAGTGTTGATTATTCACTTGATAAACTATGTCATAACTTTTCAGCAAATCCAATCAACATGGTTTTGTGAGTTTTCTCCAACATCATCCAGATATTTTGTACACCATGGAGTTAACAGTAAACTATATTGATCTAAAAAGGTTGAAACCCAATAGCCAAAGATAGAACCATGAGATTGTGTAGCTGAATTGAGGTGGATGATAAAAACATTAGCCATGAGACGAAAGAAGCTAGCCTGATGAAGAATCAGAAGCTAGCATCTTGAGTTTCTTGTCTATATGGATAAAGAAGTTTTTAGGAATGATGATGAAGTGAGCTACCGTAAAATAAGTATTAAATTAAATATTTTATGAATTAAATATTGTGTCTAGGTTGATACATGTCAGCGACATGGAGCACTTGCAAGTAGTAACATCCAATGATATATTTGAAAGGAACTTGTTTTTGTATAAAAGGAAGACAGTCTGGAAGTGGTGGGAAGTAAGGAAGCCGCTTATCTATCACCAGGCTCTGGCATGATGCAGATGGGGAGGAGGCTGTGCTTGAGAGAGCTTTAGAAAAAGCTGTATCTTTTTGAGTGAAATAAAGTGAAAGGCGTATTCAAGGTACAGTTGGAATATGTAGAAATGTTTGCTATTGATCACTTTTGAGCTCCAGAAAGACAACTACAACATTTAGTAAAGGTGGTGAAGTGTGTGCTTGTGTGTGTGTGTTAGTGTGTATGTGTGTCTGTGTGCTATAGTGGGGAAAGGGAATGAGGTCAGATTTGAGGATTTATAGACAACTATGGGATTGAGTGTTTATAGAAGGATGTATTGCTCAGTGATGCGCGGTGACACTAGACTTGAAAGTAGGAACAAGCAGAATATGAATATGTTTCAGTGGCAGCTGGAAACACTGGAAGTTTGACTTATTTTCTATTCTAAGTTTCACTGCCTACAAATAGGCTAAGGATGTATAAGGATGTATCTTTTGATCCATTAAAGCTGATCCATGGAGCAAAAATTCTGGATATAATGCTTCAGTGAAGAATCTGCATTTTGAAACACTCCTCAGGTGATTCAGATGTTCAGTAACGTTTGAGAGAGACTGGTTTAGTAAAAATTTATAGAAGACTTACCACAATAATTATTTATATTTATATATTTATATATATATGTGTGTATATATATACACATTTATATACTATTTGAAAATAGAATGTGAATCATATATAAATAACCTTATAATGATTGAGGGTACTTAAAGCAATAAACTCTTGAGCATTTTATGCATTAGTTTTATAATTATTTTTATTTAATTAATGTGCATACTCCTTGAAGAAAAGAATTGCTAAGCAAAGGTAAACTAGGAATTACCTTCTATTCAATTATCATGAATGTTTAATTAAAAGATTTTAAATTAATTGTGTTACATTATTTACTTGTGTATGTAATTAATCTACATTTAGAATTTATTATTAAATGTTTGGGAAAGCAGTATCAAAATTCTTGAATGTATATGGTTTTGAAAAAGTCTTGTATAATTGCTCCTATTTGAAATATTATTACAATGCAAAAGTTTGTTATTTATAGCTATAATTTAATTCTAATGCTTATCTGCCAATACCTCTATGTTGGTGATACAATAACTAACATGTATTACAGGCTTAGTAGATTCCAGGTGTCAATGTATGTACTAATAAACCTATTCATCACAACCACCTTATGAGTCAGTTACTATTTTTTGTCTGTTTTAAGCTCTCAGGAAAACTGAAGTATATGTTTGTTAAATAATTTGATCAAGGTCTCCCATTTAGTAAGTGGCAGGGCAGAGACCCCAAAATAAGTAGTTAGATTCCAAGCCTGAACTGTTAATTACTGTATTCTATAGCTTCCTAAAACTACTGCTCAAAGGGCAGTGGTAGACAATTTGTAATGAATAGATCTTTAAAATTTAGGTGGTTCAATATTTTATGTTGGTTTATTTAGGTGGTTCAATATTCAGAGGAAAATGTAATTATGACTTACCCATTAAAAAGCTATAAAAATTCCATGCAATACCTATTTTCTTGCAGCAAAAAGCAGGACATAATAGTGAAATAAACAGAGTCAGTGAAAGTGTAATTTTAATCTTCGGCCACTCACCAAAATTGACACACAACAATTTAAAAAAAAAATGTGACATCCTTGCATTTCTAACCTAAATTGGTGTTTTCCAAATTTCCCAAGTGGATATCTTGATACATTACATATTCCTAAGAACATCCACTGGGGTTTCTGGTTCATTCGGTCCAAACTTGTAAGTAAGAAATATTTATTTTAAACAAACACCCTACTTGATTTTTATGATCTGGGAAGCAATGGCCTGAACTCTAGATTAAATTGTTTTGGAGTTGTAAAGTATGATCTAAGAATATACAAGCACATCTCTTTGTTAAACCAAAACGACATTTGATTAAAAAGATTTTTGAAAATTGAAGCATGATTTTAAATTCTGAGACAGCAATGATTTATCTTGCTGCTGATTTTTTTCTAGAAAAGTACACTTTTGTTATAGCCATTACCCCTTCACCCTTGCCTTCTTATTTATTTGTATTTTTTAATTTAATATAAAATTTTGTTGACACTCTACTTCTACACTTCAATTCAGAAGAGTTATATTTCACAATACCTTAGAACAAGGATTCAGCTTAGGATCAGACAAGTACACATCATGTAAAAATTGTAATATTATTGTGAATCAGCGTCATTCTCTGTGTCTTCAACTTCACACATAGTATCAGAACATGGAAGCAAAATGCTGAATAGAAAAAAATAGAAAATTAATATTAATATGGGAATCTAGGAAAGGACTAAATTTGTTGCTTGAGATTTAAAATACTGTAGAATTCTGGTTTTGTGCTCACATATTTGTTTGCAACTTCATTTGTCGTTCATTTCTTGAAGAAGGAAGGTAATTTTTTAAATGAGGTATTTTCCAAAGTCGTCTTCAGTGTGACTACTGTGGGCATCTTTTAGCCCCCTCAATGGTAGAAAACAGAGAATTACTGAACAAAAAGTAACCCACAAAGCTGATTTCCCTGCTATGATAATTCATAGTAATCCACTGAGTGATTGAAACTGTATATTCTGCTTGCTGAAATTAATGTGTTTTGTTTGTTTGTTTGTTTGATTTTAAGACAGGGTTTCATTCTATTGCTCAGGCTGGAGTACAGTGGTATGGTCATAACTCACTGTAACCTTGAACTTCTGGGCTCAAGCAATCCTCCCACATCAACTTCCCAAGTAGCAAGGACTACTGTTGCATGTTACCACACCCAACTAAATTCTTTTTCATTTTCTATAGAGATGAGGTCTCACAATGTTGCCCAGGATGATCTCAAACTCCTGGCCTCAAGCAACCCCCCAACTTCCGCCTCCCAAAGAGGTGGGATTACAGGCATGAGTCATGTTTTAACATCTAGAAGAGGATTGTCAGGAATAAATTCAGAATACCCATATTACCTATTTCCAGTACCAATCTCCGAATTTTTTTTAGTTAATAAGCACTTTCTCTTCTTCTGTTTCATATCCTTGGAATTTGTTTAATTTATGCTTTCTTTCTAATTTCCCAACCCTAGATTTTCTCTATCCTGCAAAGTCATCAAGACTCTTACTTTGCTAGTTCTAAATTCTGATAGAACATAGAATAATGGAAATAAAACCATGTGTTTTCAATTGTAGCACACATACATTGATGGCCTATTTGTGTAAAAATATGGATTCTTTCTTTATTTATTTTCTTTATTACTGACATGATCTGGCATCTCCTGCTTTCAATTTGTCCTGAGAATTTGTATACATAGATCTTACATTCAATAAGATATTGGTTTCTAAAGACAGAAGAAAATTAAGACAACCTTCAGTCCAAATCAAGAAAAATGAAGAATAAGAAGTCCATATAAATAAAGATCCACAATCTCCTGGGTACAATGACATTTTTAGAACAAGCACAGATACCTAATTTCTGTTCTCTACATTATGAAGAAAGAAAGGCTAAAGAAATTAAAACCCAAAGAAAATCATTTCCCAGACACAGAGTAGTTTATCAACCACATGCTCTGAATTTAAAGTAATTTCTACTAGATAAATTTCTGAAGAGAATAGTTTAAAAGGAAACACAAAGTGTTAACTCCCAATTAAGTGAGGCAATGCCAAAAATAAATTGCAAGGACATAGGATATTAGGCAAAAATTATGAAATGAGACAAAAATCTATGACATTATAGTGATATTTTTCAAAAAGAAATGATGTCTGTGAGCATCTAGTCAGCAAAAAATGCAACCACCATCACGTCACTGTTCTTTTTATTTTCTCTCAAATTTCATTTTAAAAAATGTCAAACGTACAGAAAATAGAGTACTTCTCTACCCATCCACTAAATTGAATGATTATGAATGTTTTACCCTATTACATTTCTGTATGTGTGTGTGTATACATACACACACATATATACACCTGACATTTACATTTCATATCCTGAGCCATTTAAGTTGCAGGAATCTTAAAAAATTTACCCCTAAATATTTCCAGAAGCATCTTCTAAGAAAGGAGACATTTTGTTATATGACCACAATGCTGTTATTACCAATTAAATAGAATTACCTAATATGATCTAGTGTCTACCCATATTTAAGTGTCCCCAGTTGTCCTCAATTTCGAAACATCTGGGATTTTTTAAGTATTCGTTTTTTGGGGCTAAGATCTAATAGCATTTGCCCATTGTATTTGGTTGTTATGTCTCTTTAGACAGTTTTAATCCAGAAAGGTTTCCAATCCTTTTGTTCTCTCATAACATTGACTTTTTGAGGAATTCAGGTCAGTTTTCTTGTAGAATGCTACATATTCGAGAACTATCTATCTTCTTTAGGTATTATATAATTTGTTTCTCTATTTCCTGAATTTAACTATGTATCTCTAAATAAAGCAAAAATCAACTTCATTTTTATCACATTAAATAGAAGAAAATAAATGGTATAATAAACATTTCGAATGAAAATAATGTGACTAAAAGAGTTTCTGTATATTTAAGTACATATTCATGTATGAGACGACAAGAAGATATTCTCAGGAGTGTAATATTCAAAAATAATATGAACATTGAATTCAGAAGTCATGGCATAAAAGGACTGCTGTAAAACTTTTCAACAAGTACTGACTTTTAAAATCTTATAAATATGTTTGCAAAGTAATGCAAAAATGAAGTAATTTATGACAGAACACCTCTGCAGCTTAGAAAGACAAAATGGTGTGGAGAGATTCACATCATAAACATTTTTCCAGGAATCAATGCAGGAACTTAACAGGAAAACTGAAAGATACCACACACTTTTATGAAAGAGGTGGTGGGCTGCAGCCTACACCATGAGCCAAGCTGAAAAAACATGTGGAAAAAGAAAGGAAAGTGAAGCAGTGACCTAGGCAATAGAAATTTTTTGGCCTGACCTATTTCATTAGATGATTATATTGACGTTAATAAAATGTTTTATGATAATAGTCATTTTATCTTAAATATTCTCCGTTACCGACACGCACAAACCATAAACACACATTATGGATCTGCAGTGATTACAACTTGCTGGTGAAGAATCTACATGTTTATAATATCTGTCTTAGTTATACTTATATTGCATGCCATTATTTTGTAGAATTATTGCTACCACTATCATATAGTCTTCTTTTGGCCAAGTATGTTAATAATATGTTAATAATTGAAATAACAAATAATGTTTTTAATTTGTGTAGACTAATTTTACAAGACTTGAATCCATATCTATGCTACTATGATTATATGAAAATTAGATATATCTGCTATAATTTTTTCATAAAACTTAACTAAAGAACGTTAGCTAGGCAAGTGATATTATATACATATCACAAGGACATGTGAAAACCCATGATAAATTCATTAAAAAGCAAAAAGAAAATTATATATGTTTCATTATAATTTTAATAAAATAAGTGTTACTATAAGCTATATTAAAATCATATTTTTTGGGAACTTGCCATGAATTCTTTTATAAATGAAGTTCCATTGGAAGATGGTGTGTCATTATGTAGCCTATATTGATCACCTTTATAACTAAAGTTTTGGAGAAATTGTCTTTGTGTATAATTTTTTATTGTGGTAAAAATTGCACAACGTGAAATCTAATCCCTTAACAAATTTTTAAGTATACAGTACAGTGTTGTTAACGATATCCAGATTTCTGTACAGAAGATTTCTTGAATTTTTCATTTTGCTTGAAGGAAACTCTATATTCATTGAATGGCAACATCCCATTTCTTCATCTCCCCACTGTCTAGCAAACATCATTTTATTTCCTCTGCTTCCATGAGTTTGATTATTTTGGTGATACGTATAAATAGAGTTGTGGAGTATTTGTCTTTCTGTGACTAGTTGATTTCACTTAGCATAATGTTCTGAAGGTTCATCTATGTTGTAGCATGTGACAGGATTTCCTTCTTTTTTAAGGATGAATTATATTTTGTTGTATGTGTATGTAACATTTTCTCTATCAGTTCGTTCATCAATGGACAGGTAAGTTGTTTCCACTTCTTGGTTATTCTTAATCATGATGTAATAAACACAGAAGTACAAATATATGATATCCTGACTTCAATTCCTTTGAATAAATATCCAGAAATAAAATTGCTGGCTCATATGGTAGTTTTATTTTTAATTATTTTAGGAACTTCTATACTGTATTTCATTGTGGCTGCACCATTTTACATTCCCATCAACATATACAAGGTTTCCAATATCTCCACTATTTATTTATTTAATTTATATAATGGCCATCCTAACAGGTGTTAGGTGATATTTAATTGGGCTTTTTATTTGCATTTTCCTGATGATTTGTAAATTGGAAAAATATGATGCTGACATGACATGTGCTTTTGGCTAAGGATATGAAAATGGAACAGAGAAGAGGGGTGCATACAAACAGTGACCAAACCATTTTTTCCTGTGAAAATTGTAATGGTAAAATGTGTGTCTTATTCAGTATACAATGTTTGATTTAAACTGCAATTATGTTGCTTTCTGACTTAGAATATGATAACCTTTTTAGATTTGTACAAATTTTTAATCTCAATCAACAGAAAATATTATTATGCCTGTCCTAAAATATATATAAACACATATGTAGATACACGATGGTCATCAAAGTCACATGCAATTATTGCATTTATGCACAAACTAAAGACATTTGCCAAGTATTAAAAGGTAATATCAAATGACACAGTACATTATGCTAAATTCTAAAACACCTTAACATAAATTGACCACATATCTTTATGCAATTTAAATTGATGAGATAATATTTTTAATCAAGTCCAATTTTATTATTTTGCTTGTGGATAACCAGTTTTTCCAATACCATTTGTTGAAGAGACTAATCTTTTCCCCATTGTATAGTGTTGGCAACCATGTTGAAGGTTATTTAACCATATGTGTGTGGGCCTATTTATAGGCTGTCTATTGTATTGGTTTATACATCCAGTCTTATGTTAGTGTCATACTATTTTGATCACCATAGTGTTGTAATGTGTTTTGAAGTCAGGAAGTGCGAGATCTCCAGTTTTGTTCTTATTTATCAAGATTGCCTTGCTAGTCAAGATTCTGTGTGCTTTCATAAAAATTTTGGATTTTTTTTGTATTTCTGTAAAACATACCATTGAGATTTTAATAGAGATTGCATTGAATCTGTAAATCACTTTGGGTAGTATGGGCATTTCAACAGTATTTTCACTTCATGTACATGGGATATCTTTCCATTTATTTAGGTCTTCTTTATTTCAGCAATATTTGCTAATTTTTAGTATACCAGTCTTTTGCTGTTTTGATTAACTGTATTCCTAAGAATTTTATTCTTTTTGATGCTATCGTAAATGGGATTGCTTTTTAAATATTCTTTTCAAATTGTTTGTTCTTAGCACGCAGAAATGCAATTCATTTTTATATTGACTGTCCTGTAATTTTGTTGAATTCCTTTATTCTAATAGATTTTTTGTGTGAAATCTTTAGGGTTGTTTACATATAAGACCATGTGAGGCCAGGCGTCGTGGCTGACGCCTGTAATCCCAACACTTTGGGAAGCAGAGGCGGGTGGATCACGAGGTCAGGAGATCGAGATTATCCTAGCTAACACGGTGAAACCCCGTCTCTACTAAAAATACAAAAATTAGCCAGGCGTGGTGGTGTGTGCCTGTAGTCCCAGCTACTCAGGAGGCTGAGGCAAGAGAATCACTTGAACCCAGGAGGCGGAAGTTGCAGTGAGCGAGATAGCACCACTGCACTGCAGCCTGAGTGACAGAGTGAGACTCCATCTCAAACAAACAAACAAACAAAAACCATGTGAGTTATGAACAGACGTAGTTTCCTTCCAATTTTGATGCCTTTTATTTATTTTTCCTGACTAATTGTTCTGGCTAAGACTTCCAGTACTACACCGAATAGCATTGGTAAGAGTGAAGATTCTTGTATTGTTTCTGATTTTAGAGAAAAAGCTTTCAATTCTTTACTGTTGTATATGACATTAGCCATGATCATTTCATATATGGCCTTTATTATGATGAGGTAATTTTTCTATTTCTAAATTGTTGAGTGTGTTTGTCAAAAAAGGGTGCTGAACTTTGTCATTCTATTTTACATGTGGTGTAATTTTTATGTAAATTTTATCTTTCATTCTGTTAATAGGGTTATTACATTGATTTATTTTCGAAAGTTGAACCATCCTTGTATCCCAAAAATAAGCCCTACTTGGTCTTGCTGTATGGTCCCTTTAACATGCTGTTAAATTTGGTTTGCTATTATTTTTTTGAAGATTTTTGCATATATATTAATCAGGGGTCTTGGTTTCTAGTTTTTTTTTTTTTCTCTCAGTGTCTTTCTGTGACTTTGCTATGAGCATAATACTAGCCTCAGAAAATGAGTTTGGAAGTGTTCTTTTAAATTATTTTGGAAGAGTTTGAGAATAAATAACTTTATTTTTTATGCTTTGGTAGATTGCTCAAGTGAAGCCAGTTATCTAGTCCTTGGCTTTTCTTTGTTAGAAGATTTGCTTCTCTTGTAGCTTTTCTTTTTCTCTTTTGCTAGCTTCCTTTGTGTTTTATTGATATTTTTTAGTGATATGATTTTATTATTATCTTTTTGATTCTGGGAGTTAGAGATTTTCTCCTGCTGGTTTCATGCTGAGCCAGGTGAGGGACTGTAGGGAGTGGTCAAGTGCTAATCTAAATTGGCACCTTCGTCCTCATAGGTCCCCAAATTGAAGCCTTTTCTTGTCAGTGCTTATATTCTGGCAAGACAGAAGGCAGTCTCCCAGGCAGTCTTACCACCCCAAAGAAAAGGCAGAATATTTGATATATGGTTCAGTCTTCTCTTTTCTCCCCAGGAAGAAGCTAAGACCTGGGAGATTTCTCTCTATTGTACCATCACAGTGTACCGGGGAGGGACTATGGTTGGTGAATGCCACAGATTTTTTTTTTTACCAGCTTCTATGTGGCTGGTTTCAAAATCATCTAGGGTACAAAAGCCTCTTTCTTAACAGGTTTTTGGGTTTCTCACAAAGGTAATTGTTTCATATATTTTCTTTGAGTCAGTATCTACATGAGTTAGAGGGTCTGGAGCTTCCTATTTTACCACCTTGCTGACATCACCTAGTCTTTCTGTACATTTTATTTTAATGGAGTTTATAGATTAAAATTGACTTCTAAAAAGTAATGTATACCACATATGAAATAACTTACCACCTAAAATACCCTTTACAAAGAAAAATAATAATTTAATTAGTTATCAGCAAAGTAAGCACTCCTGTTACTTAGTTGGAAATGACTTTACATTTGGCTCTATCTTGCACTATTCATGTAGTCATCCAGTGGGTTCTCCTTGCCTGCTGCCTAGAAAAAGTCGATTTATCAAGATGGGAATTGCAATAGAGAAAGAGTTTAATTCGTGCAGAACTGGCTATACTGGAGACCAAAATTTTATTATTACTGATATCAGTCTCCCGAAAAACTCAGGATGGGGTTTATAAGGATAATTTGGTGGGTAGTGGGTTGGAAAGTAGGGAGTGCTGATTGGCCGGGTCAGAGATGAGATTATAGGTAGTCCAAGCAATACTCTTGTGTTGAGTCAGTTCCTGGGTGGGGGACACAAGACCAGATGAGCCAGTTTATTGATCTGGGTGGTTCCAGCTAATCCATGGAGTGCAAGGTCTTCAAAATATCTCAAATACTGATATTAGGGTTTACAATAGTGATATTATCCCCAGGAGCAATTTGGGAAGGTTCAGAATCATAATTTCTAATCTTGTAGCTAATTCGTTAGGCCTGTAAAGGCAGTCCAGTCTCAAGACAGGAAAGTGATTTGTTTTGAGAAAGGGCTGTTATCATTTTTGTTTCAAAGTTAAACTATAAATTAAGTTCCTCCCAAAGTTAGTTCAGCCTACACCCACTAATAAACACAGACAGTTTGGAAGGTAGGAGCAAATAAGATGGAGTTGATTGGGTAAGATGTCTTTTGCTGTAATGATTTTCTCAGTTATAATTTTTGCAAAGGTGGTTTCATTCAAAATTGCTCCTTGAATCTTGGATTAAATGTCATATCATGGGTATATTTGTTGCATTTTCAAAAGCGGATTGTTTCCTCTTTCTCTGTAATTGTGTTTCAGTTGTGGTTGATTCACAATTTTAGTATATCTATGTAGAAAGCAGGTATATATGTGCATAAGCACAAAACTTCCATCACATCCCTGGACTATGCATTATAAGTTGTTTTTTGAGTTGGCTAAATGAGAATATTTTTGCAAGAGATCAGTTTCTAGATTAAACCTATTTTATTAACAGTTAAAAAGGTGACCGTCATTTTGAAAATAATATAAACATTTTGTAGGTTAAATATTTGTTCACAGTATATGACTGTTTTTAGTTTTAACTTAATAAGAAGACTTGGATACACTGATAGCTATAAAAATCCAGTCCTAAACTACTTGCCATAAAAATGCTATGAGCTTTAGAGTTCGGAGTTCTAGCATATTGAATAGTAAAACATTAAAGAAGATCACTTGTTCATTAAAATATGATATAATACTCTTCATCTTCTAAAGCAGAATGTGTTTTTGTTTGTGTGCTTACTTACTAGAAAAAACAGATAAAAGAAGACTGTCACATTGCATGTAATGCCTTACTTTTAGGTTGAAAATAAGCAGAGATTTATACAATTCATTCTGTTTGCTTTTGTTGTATTTTTGAAACTTCAAGGAAAATTATTATTTTTTCCTTTTCTAGCAAATAAATCCATTTCCACTGACAAATTGTAACTTTGGAGAAATGGAATATTTTCTTCCATTTTTGAAATAAAACTTTAGTAATAATTTTGATATTCTACTTTACCTTTAATTCATAATTCATTAATTTTAAGAAAATTTGATTAAAATAACTTTAAAATTAAATTAATACAGGCTTGTTTTCTTGGATTTTATTTAATCAAGGCTTTTAGTTTACTGTTACTATTTTTCAGTAGTGTTTTCTTATTTTTATGACTGTTAATGACTTATTTACTTCTTTCATTCTTTCAATGTTATTCCCTGTCGAGGCCATAAATTTCTACCTATCTCTGGAAATAGCACATCCTGTCTATCCTTCAGTCCCTAGACCAGATTTCTTTTTCCACTCAGCCTTCTGTATTGGTAGGATTTCAATTAGTCGCAACAAATAATATATCTGACAAATGCTGGTTTAAACAAATACAAGAAATGCAGAGTGATTCAATCCAGGCAGGTTTATGGCTTATTGAAATAATCAAGGATGAAGATCTTTTCTACACTTCTACTCCGCCATCCTTACATGCATGCTTCATTATGATCGTTGCAAGATGGCTGCTTCATCTCCAGCTTATTTCTGCTTTCCAGGCAGGTGGGAGGCAGAAGGATAACGAAAAATGAGCCAAAAAATTTAGTTTTTTAAGGCATTCCTGGGTCCATATTAATGATTTCTTCTTAGCTTTTATTAGTCAAGCTGGATGTTGTATATGATCTTACCTGCAAGTGAGTTTTGTAAGGTAAATGTTTAGCTTTCTATACTATATAGTAAAAGAAATGAAAAAGAGGAGGTTCTGAAAGTGTTTAGGTTAGCCAATTCAAATCACCACATCTTATACGTTCTTCCTGCTTGTCACATAGAAGTGGCTTTCTCTCTTTTGATTCCTACATTTGTATTATGGCAACTGTTGTAATAAAATTGAGTGCCATTTACTGCGTTCTTACCAAATGATAACACAGTGCTTGGGTTATTTTTAATTCACTTAATCCTAACAGGAACCATATAAATATACAGGCTTATAATTCCTGATGCACTAATGAGAACACTAAGGGCCAGAGTGATTTAAAAGTCTTTTCCAAACACTCCTAACCAGTGAATAATAGAGCTAGAATAGTTGAGCATGTTCATCTAACTCTAAACTCCATGATTTTGATAACTATAATATATTATCTCCTACTCTAGCTGGATTTTATTTACATTGTATATCTGTGCCTATCTTGACTACTATCTCTTAAAAGGTAAAACTTTGATTCATTTATTAATAGCACCATTTCAGAGTATAACCTAGTCCCAGGTAGACAATATGTATTTAGAGAATGTAAATAGTATTTTTATCAGAAAGTGCCTTTTCCAGTTATTCTGTTTGTATATTAGTGCATAGAAAAATACCCCAAAACTCAAATGTATTTTAAAACAATATTCAGTTTGTTATAGCTCACATTTTTGTGGGTAAGAAGTGTCAAAAATAATGCTGGATACTAGTTAATGTGGTAAGAACAGATTTTAATCAGTAATAACTGTTTCAATAAGGGGTATATTATAATGTGAACTTAACTCAAAATTCATTTGTGCAGAGGTGACTGGGCACTATAAAGGGACAATGAGGGAATAAGGAGGGGAACAATGGTTGAAAAAAGTCCAGAAAATGGATATTTACAGAAAATCATGACAAAGGGATTGGTTAATGTAAAACCCATTTTGGTTTGCTAACTGGCATTTATCACAGTTAGGCGCTTACCCTTCCATAGAGAGTGGGAGACAGGGAACCTGTCTTTAGATGTTGGTAGGGCCAAATAGCAAATTATTTGGCAACTCTGAGCTATTAGAAGCTATGTTAGAAGCGTTTGTTCAGCTCTCTTAGTGTGTGGGCAAAATCACCGGTACTGAAAATGTGTGTTTTTTTATAGGCCAAGGTTGAGTAAGGCCTTGTTGAAGAGAGACCTTAGAGGATTCTGACTAGAGTTTGGTCTAGAAAAGTGTCTTTGTCAGGAATTAAAGCAAAAATAAGTTGGATAATTCTTCTGTTGAATATGATGTCTACTGAGTTCATTTAGTGGTATTCAACTGACAGACGGACTGGTATAGAATGTCCAGTATAGCTTCACCCACATGCCTAATATTTTGGCAGAGATGGTTGAAAGGCAACACTCAGCTGCAACTGTTGACCATTGTGCCTATATGTGACAGGCACAATGTGGAGGTATTGGATAGCCATATATTTTACTTGATGGCTCAGGTCTCCCAGAGAGAATGATACCAGATACAGAAAATGAAACCTGACAGTATCTTAAGACTTGAACCTAGTTACTGGCCCAGAATCACTTCCACCATGTATTATTGTCAGATCAGTTTTAGAACTCACCCACATTCAAATAAAAGGGACATAGACCCCACCTCCTTGTGGGAAGAGTATGGCCACTTTTAATTTGTTGCACTAGTATTGGAAACTTTCAAATATATTTCATGGGGTGAAAGCAGCAAAGTAGTATATTTTGTCTTGTTATTGTGTATATCTTTTTGAAAAGGCCTTTCTGTCTACTTCATTGAGTTCTAAAAGTTCATACTTTATAAATGCTGTGAATAAAGTTTTAAATTCCTTAAAAGATTCAATGGCTAAAATATATGTTACACACTCAGGATTAAATTATTTAAACTTTCTATTTGACCGTTGGTCATGTTTGAAATAAGATAAAATTATCAGTGATTTCTAAATGACCTCATATTGCATGTGAATGTATCAATAATGTGTAAACATCAAACTTTATAATTATTATAATATATTATAATTTATTATATTTATTTATAATTATAATTTATAATGTATTAGGGTAAGATACATTATATTTAGAAGGAAATACATGTTTCTCTAAAAAAAATTTTCTTAGTTCCCACTGACTGCATAAATGAAATTGTGATGTTTGATTACAAACCCAAATACCACTTAGCAATCAAACTTAGTTTTCTATTCAGGGAGTGCAACATATTCAGCTTGTCCCCTTGAAAATCATAATTCTACCAGGTTTACAAAGTTAATAAAGAGTGAGCATCTTGATTTGTTGGCAAATTAGTAGTGAGAGCCCATTTTATGAAAAAGTTATCTTTAATCAACATGGATAAATTAGAAATAACCTTAAATAGTTTCAACATCAAATTTGCTCAAGTGGTAAAAAGAGTTACTGGATTTTTAAACATTAGAATATGTATTCTCATTACTTATATGGCAGCACTTAAGCAGTAATCTCCAAGATATTTTTAAAAGTTTCGTTACCATTTTTTAAGGAGAATTCACAGAAAGAAACAAACCAAGATTGAATAGAATGTTACTTAGTAAATATGTTGTCTAAGTAAAAACTACATGCTATTATCCCTTAATGGAAGACACTGGGTTAAAACCTGAAAATAAATATTATCAATGCTGGGCCAGGTACAAGTGCATAGAAATTAATAAAATCACAATTAAACTTTCCTGATCCTTTAAGTAACACTCATATTTAGCAAAAAAGATTATTATCAACAAAGAAGATTAAACAAATTTTATGCTTTTGTTGGAACTAACTCTTCACAGATAAGACATTTTTGTGCTTATTATAAATTTACATTTGATTGTGTAATTGAATGTTCTTGAAAGAGTACTTATGGTTTTTACTCATTTCAACTTGCACCAGTGCCAATAAAAATTTTAGAAAAAAAGCCTCACTCAAGATCTATAAGCTTTAATTGATCATATACTTCAATGTTAGGCACATTTTTCATTGGTCTAGACAAAATCTGTCTCTTTTTTCATTCATTCATTTATTCATTTCATTTTAACATTGATATTCGTGTTTATTCTCCCTTGCATAGTAACCACTCTAATGTGTTAATTTTGTAATTTTTTTGTATATGAACTTTCAAATGGATATCAATTTTGTGTCAACATATTTTTAATTTATGAACATTGGATTATATTATAGATTTTTTCCTGTGTATTACTTTTGTTAGTTCACACTATGCCTTTAAATGCCATTCATCTTGCAATGTATACATCTAATTCATTGCTTATAACTGCAGCATAGTAGATGTGAAAGCTATTCAACTACCAATGTGGTCCACTTTTTCTGAAGTACCCAGTTCGAGTGGGCAAAAAAGGATACCCTAGAGAGTAGAGTCAAGAGCTACAGAGAACAAAACTCTGAGTATTCACTTATAGGCAGCTGAAACTAGGAATGTGTCTATCGTATATAGAGATGATATATAGAATCTCTGACAATATTATATAAGACAAATAATAAGCTTAGATCCCTAGGGCTTGAGAAAAAATATGTCCCCCACTTTTTTTTTTTTTTTTTTTTGCTTAGAGAAATGTTTTATTTTGGTTGGTTGACAACTAATTGTTCAGTTGAATGGTAACTCTCACACTGCATCCTAAAATAAGATACTCTGTTGGCAAGTAGAAAATAGAATAATTTCATTTTTTATCTGTTAAGCTCTCTTGAAAAATGTTTCTGTTTCTTAAATTTAAAATTGGCCTGGTTTGCCTTTTCTTTTCAAGGTTAAAAGGTTTGAATCCTCCAGCAATGCCAGACTGTGTCAGACATCTCTGCAATTCATCAGCATCTATTTGCCCATCATGTCCAGCTACAGCAGCAAAGTAATCATATAGTGGATCCTGAGTTTTTCTGGGAAATGCAGGCCCTCCAGGAGTCCCTCCATACCCGCCTGGGTGGTACCCGCTGCCAGCGCCAGGATGCCCCAGGTACTACATGGTGCAGTCTGCGCCACTGCTGCCATTGCCCTGAGTGCCTGGCCCAAAAATGTGCCTTTTTATTAGTAGCTATTTCCATTTGAAAATCAGCTCCTGACTTAACATTTTCCGAAGGAACTTGAACACCTGTGAGATTTCCAAGTAACTATGCAATCCCAAACTACTATTAGTGAACTAAGTGATATCTGATCCATAAAATTGGATGTGTACAGCAGCTTTTCACCTTTAATTGAACTTGTATATACCAGACAAAGCCTCAGCAGGCCTGGAAGTCACAAGTAAATTGCTAAGCCATCAGTTCAGACTTGCTTGATAATCTATTTCTATTTATTTCTTCCCTTTGCTTTAACCTACATGCTATGGCCAGTTATTGAAGAGAAAAAAAAAGGTAAGCCTGGTTTATATTAGCGTCTTCAGTGTGTGCTAGTCCCAACTAAAAATGGATGGCCACTTAGAAGCTCAGTCATGGATACCCCAGAAAGCTGAGGTAAAGGGAAATTCCATTGGTGGGTAGAATTTCAAGTGCTATACCAAGATGTTCAATATATGCAAAAAGAGAGATAACTTGAGTGTGGATATATGATGATTAAAAAATGGAGACTAATGATTAAACTGGCTAAATAGGGACCTAGATAAAATAATGTTGGAAAATTGGTGAAGAGAATTTGGGAAAAGGTATGTGAATGAATCTCTCAAAATGGGCACTGAGTATGAGGATGCTCACTTCCCACATAAATTTGTGCTCCACTAGAAAACAGCCAAAGCTGTTATATTAAACGTAATGACACATTATCTGGATATCGTTTGGCCTCTTTTTACTCTACAGTGATTACTTAATGGACTCATAGACAAAGTGGCCATGATGACAAGTATGAAGACTATGTATATTTTCTTCAGCAAGACTTTCCCTTCGCTAAGGCTGATCTTGTTTCTGTGGCTGCTAAGTGCTTTACCTTTCATTAATAGAGGCCAAATTTTGAGGTATCATTTTGGTACAGCATGTGGGGGGAACATGCTAGCTACCTTTTGGTGGATTGATCATATTGGGTTTTTTTTTTCATTATGGAAGTGAAAGCAATTTGTCTTCACAAGAATACACTCATCATCTGGATTTGGATTTGTTTTCCCTGGGCATTGCCACCATACTTACATGGACAGAATGCTTTATATACCCATAAAACATCATCTATAAACAAGGGAATTATTTTTCCCAGAAGGAAATAAGACGATGGGCACAGAAACACACAATTTGGTGGCTTTAAGCCCCCACTATTCCACTATCCAGAAACAATTTTTATGATAGGATCTTGCAATATTGAGATGCTATCATACAGAATATGTTGTATTCCTCAAATTGTAGCCAAAATATAATGCTCTCTTCCCCATAAACTAAATGCATGGGTCTGGGATTTAAGGGATGGAAGTAGGTGCACTACTCTCATTTTTACACCTAATAACTCCCTACAAGAATGTTTGTTTCTCATTTTTGATGCCTTTGATCTTATGTGTTTAAAGATCTCAGTGCTCAAGGGTAGCACACCCTCACTCAAGGGTAAGAAATAGCCATGATTCTCATAAGATGGAAGCTGAGACTGCCTCTTGGTCATATTCATGATGCCAAACCTGCAGCAAGAAAAGAGGGTCATTGAACTGGCCGGAGTAATTAATTCTGGTTACCAAGGGGAAGTCAGGTTGCTTCTAAGAAGTGGAAGCAAGGAAAATTATATCTGGAACCCAGAGACTTCAGGGGCACCTCTTAGTGCAATAGTCTTTGTTAACAGAAAACAGGCAATTAATAAAAGCAGGACCATCAAGGGTTCAAATATTATGAAAATAAAATTTATTATTACTCTACCAGGTTACAAAAATATATATATATATATCTAGCCAAGATGCTGGGAGAAGGTAAATGGAAAGTGTAATAGGTCATAGAAAAATAAAACTAGTATTATCAGTTTAGACCTTGTGACCAGCTACAGAAACGAAATGGTATCAGCTATATATTATGTCAATTATCCCTCTCCCTCATCCCGTACAAAGAGCTACAGTGTTTTAGATATCAGGTGGGAATGTGACTGAATTGAAATGTTTGCACCTCCTGTGGTTGGAATACATTTTTTTCATCCAGATAAAGGACAAGAATAGAAACCAAGGGTCAAAAGGGATAGACTGCTAAATGTTTTTAGCTTGCTTCTCCCAGATATACTCTACTCCCCTCTCCTCTCTCTTTGCACCTTGCAATGCTTATCTTTGTAAACTACGGTGACCTGACTACCATTCCCTGTAGTTTTTAGTGGCCAATAGGAAGCACAGTCAGAAGAATTCAGAAAGATGAAAAGAAGAAATTGGATTATTTATTCCCTTAGCTCACTCCTTGCAAGCCATGGGTTGACAATGACTGCATGCTTCTACTCAAGGCCATAGACCCTTTCAGGTAGCCCTCTCTTACAGCTACAGTTTCAGCTGCCCTAAGGTCCCTGTAACCACATCCTCTCTTTGTCTCTTCAGTCCTAAGTGTGGTAAAAACTTTCTGCTGTGGTCAGCCCTGGGGGATTTTATTATGCCTTACTGTTTCTCCTTAATTCTGCCCATACCTGTAAATAAACCTTTTTTCGAATTCATTTCAATAATCCCTTTTGAGTACACCATTTGTCTCCTGACAAGACTGTGATTAACACGATCTAAGATAACACTTAAAATCACTGAGTTTTTCAAGAAAATATAATTCAGCATTTGTTTGTTCTTAAGTACTTTATTTAGAACAAACATAATAAATTTCTTTGCTTAGGAGAACATCTATTGTTTCTGATATTCATGCAAATAAGGAACTCATTTTGTAGTTCATATGCAGAAACATATTTTGCACATTTTCTTCATGGAGATGCAGCATTTTGAGGTGCCTGTCTAATACTCAGTATGTGGCAACTTTCCACACTGAACAGGATGTTTGCCAAGAGGCAGAAAATCTACAAGTTTTGCTTTCAAAAGTGGCTATGCAAAAATCCTCAATAAAATACTGGCAAATCGAATCCAGCAGCACGTCAAAAAGCTTATCCACCACGATCAAGTTGGCTTCATCCCTGGGATGCAAGGCTGGTTCAACATAAGCAAATCAGTAAATGTAATCCGTCATACAATCAGAACCAATGACAAAAACCACATGATTATCTGAATAGATGCAGAAAAGCCCTTCAACAAAATTCAACAACGCTTCATGCTAAAAACTCTCAATAAACTAAGTATTGATGGAGCGTATCTCAAAATAGTAAGAGCTATTTATTAAAAACGCACAGCGAACAGCATACTGAATGGGCAAAAACTGGAAGCATTCCCTTTGAAAACTGGCACAAGACAAGAATGCCCTCTCTCACCACTCTTATTCAATATAGTATTGGAAGTTCTGGCCAGGGCAATCAGGTAAGAGAAAGAAATAAAGCATGTTCAATTAGGAAAAGAGGAATTCAAATGGTCTCTGTTTGCAGATGACATGATTGTATATTTAGAAAACCCCATCGTCTCAGCCCAAAATCTCCTTAAGCTGATAAACAACTTCAGGAAAGTCTCAGGATACAAAATCAATGTGTAAAAATCACAAGCATTCCTATACACCAAGAACAGACAAACAGAGAGCCAAATCATGAGTGAACTCCCATTCTCAATTACTACAAAGAGAATAAAATACCTAAGAATACAACCTACTAGGGATATGAAGGACCTCTTCAAGGAGAACTACAAACCCCTGCTCAATGAAATAAAAGAGGACACAAACAGATGGAACATTCCATGCTCATGGATAGGAAGAATCAATATCGTGAAAATGGCCATACTGCCCAAGGTAATTTATAGATTCAATGCTATCCCCATCAAGCTACCACTGACTTTCTTCACGGAATTGGAAAAAAACTACTTTAAATTTCATATGGAACCAAAAAAGAGCACGCATAGCCAAGACAATCCTAAGCAAAAATAACAAAGCTGGAGGCATGCTACCTGACTTCAAACTATACTACAAGGCTACAGTAACCAAAACAGCATGGTACTGGTGCCAAAACAGATATATAAAGCAATGGAACAGAACAGAAGCCTCAGAAATAACACCACACATCTACAACCACTTGATCTTTGACAAACCTGACAAAAACAAGCAATGGGGAAAGGATTCCCTATTTAATAAATGGTGTTGGGAAAACTGACTAGCCATATGTAGAAAGCTGAAACTGGATCCCTTCCTTACACCTTACACAAAAATTAACTCAAGATGGATTAAAGACTTAAATGTAAGATCTAAAGCCATAAAAACCCTAGAAGAAAACCTAGGCAGTACCATTCAGTACATAGGCATGGGCAAAGACTTCATGACTAAAACACCAAAAGCAATGGCAACAAAAGCCAAAATAGACAAATGGGATCTAATTAAACTAAAGAACTTCTGCACAACAAAAGAAACTATCATCAGAGTGAAGAGACAGCCTACACAATGGGAGAAAATTTTTGCAATCTATTTATCTGACAAAGGGCTAATATCCAGAATCTACAAAGAAATTAAACAAATTTACAAAAAAAAACAAACAATCCCTCAAAAAGTGGGCAAAGGATATGAACAGACACTTCTCAAAAGAAGACATTTATGCAGCCAACAGACATGAAAAAATGCTCATCATCACTGGTCATTAGAGAAATGCAAATCAAAACCACAATGAGATACCATCTCACGCCAGTTAGAATGGCGATCATTAAAAAGTCAGGAAGCAACAGATGCTGGAGAGGATGTGGAGAAATAGGAATGCTTTTACACTGTTGGTGGGAGTGAAATTAGTTCAACCATTGTGGAAGACAGTGTGGCGATTCCTCAAGGATCTAGAACTAGAAATACCATTTGACCCAGCAATCCCATTACTGGGTATATGCCCAAATGATTATAAATCATTCTACTATAAAGACACATGCACACATATGTTTATTGCAGCACTATTCAAAAAGGGAAGAAACTAACCTCCTAAACTGCATTCCACTGAGTGATGTGTATGGTGGCATATACATCAGTATTCAATAAAATTTCAATTATGCATACACTTAGGGGCCCAGTGTTTGATGGATAAATCTTGTGCAAAAACCAGGAACATTATTTTAAACAGTAATATGGAGTCTTCTGTCATACTGGTAGTTTGGGAATAAGTGATTCATACTGTTGCTAGGGAGTCTCCATTTCAAACCACATTTCAGACAATGATTAAGGCTCAGAGCACCTTGGGACCTAGTCCCTAAATTACATGCAAGAGACAAATAAAAACAACAACAAAAAAATACCCAAAGGAAGTATATGAAAAATACCTCTCTCTCTCTCACACACACACACACACACACACACACACACACACACACAAAGACACTTGACTTTTATTATTTTTGACACTAGTTATGATAACTCACTTCTATTAAAGCATAGAACAAAGAAATGTATCAGAAAAGATTGAGGATATGGCACTTTTTTCATATTGTATTGATCACCTAGTCAGCTAGAGGAATACTGAAATATTAAACAATTCCTAAAAGCTGGACTTACAAGTTTCTTTTAGAAGGTATAGGAGACCCTTAATAACAGTCCAAAATTTTAAAAATTACTTGCTAAGCAAAATATGTCTCTTATCTTACTGACACATCAGATGAGATATTTATAATAAAACAAAGTGCACCAGTGGGCTTGGAAAATTTTTTGCAACAGCGTGAATTGTATTGAATAAATGCAATCTCAAGTTTATCAACAAGTTGCATTCCCAATGTTCATTGGCTTGTTTGAAATTTAGAAAGCATTTGGTCACAGAACCAGTGTTGTACATGGTAAGTAAGTCCCCAAGACAACCAAAAACTCATATTTAATACAGAGAAAAGCTGTATTATGATCAATTTCAGTGAAAATATAGAAAAAAATAGAGTCAAACAGAGGCATCTGAAGATTTTTTTGTGGTTGACTTAGAGTCGAATAACATAATATAAAGTTGAAATAAAGTTTCTTTATTTGTCTATAGTATGGATACATATCGTAACAATTATTTGTAAGGCTTTATCGTGAATCCTAAAATTAATTGAAAATATATTCTGTGAAGTGAGATATGAAGAGTTGCAAAACAAGACCTATGTATGTAAGTGCATATTAAGTCAAAGAAAATTTTAAAAATGTCATATTTTACTTACAATCAAATATATATCAGTTCATTGTTGCAAAAAAATCACCAATTTAATATAAATGCATTTGTCTATGTCTTTAAACTTTTTCTAAAATATCTATTTCATAGGAATGGGCAAGACAAAGAAACTGATGTAGATTATCTTAAAAAACACTTTATGAGAATTACTTATAAAGTGACAGCGTGTAAATTACACTGTATATTGTCAGAAGTTAAACAATTTATGCATTAGTATATTACCAACATAAAAGAAGCTGTCTTAAGACTTAGAGCTAAGTGGTTCATTTATGTTAAAGGTATCATTATCCTTGAGAAAGTCAAGAAATGACCTTTACATTTTACTCCTTAAGTCAACCTTTCAAGATCTTTTGGTGGTACTTATTTTTCACACTGGGATATCACTTAATAGAAGTATTTCTATTTAACTTTGTAAAATAAAAATCAACTGGAAAATAAGGCTGGTTATTCAAGCTACCCTCACTCTAACATTTAAGTTTACAATAATATACCTTGGCTGATTCAAAGATCAAATTTATAATTTATAATCATATATTCCAAAGTGTTTTGGTTATAAAACCTTTAGAGGATAACATAGTGAATTTTTCCCTCTGATCATTATATTAACTCTTGTGTGCTTTCCAAAATACAGATGTGTGTGTGTGTGTATATGTGTGTGTGTCTGTGTTTGCTTGTTTGTTTTATTTTTAAAGAAGCATCACATTGACCGCTTAAACATTTAAATATTTTTGTATACTTTTGGAACATATCTTTATATGTATAAATGTTATAGCTAGAAATAATGACATGATGGGTCCACTGGCAATGAGCAGACCTAAAAGAAGCCTCATATATGTTCTGGCTTTGAATACGTCTTGGTCTATTCTGTCCTGGGAAAGTACTGCTTGTAATATAGCTGGTCATTACTCCTCCTGCCCCCAGTTCAACTATTTTGTATATTATTTTATACATTAGTTCTAGTCTCCATGTATATTTCTACCAGAATTGGAAAATTTTAATTTATTAGATACTTTACCCCAAATGTAACATTTAATTATAGATATTCCTGAAGAATTTGATTCTCAAGTAAAGTCATTTTAAATTGGTCTGGTACATCATCTAAGCTGTTTGCCTTACTTGCTATACAAATTGGCTTCTTTGCAGCTGTGGTGAAGGATACAAGAAATCTGCTTCTAATCTGCTTTAAATTTGGCAATAGCATTTTCTAAAAATGTAGTGTGTGTCCAGGATGTTTTAGTTTAGTGACATGGAGCATCCTGTTACCTTCATTTAAGGCTGAAAGCAAAATTTGGTAAAAAAAAAAAAAAAAAAAAAAAAAACCATAAAAATGCATGTTTATCCAGGTTCATAGATCCAGGTTTTTTAAATGGGACCCCAGGTTATTTGGCTGCCGCTCTAGTGTTTTGGAATCCACTTTGAGAATGCATTGCTAATCCACCTTGTTCACAGCCTTTTAGATTTGCTTTGTTTAAAAAGATTACGGGTATTTTGCAAGTAGTACCGAGATTTCGGAGCACATTAATATTATTTAGTGTTCTTTGGCTCCCTGAAGTATCGCTGACAATCTTTGGAGTTTAAAGGTTTTTCATAGCTAGAGCACATCCATAGGAAATTAATTCAATATTATTGCATTAGGTGCAATTTAACTGGTGAAAAATTATCTGGCTGTGACCAATGGAAATTTGTTGAGCTGAATGTTGTGACCAATCTTTCAAATCTCACAACTGCAGTGATACAGCTTCCTAGAAGTTGAGCTAAACCATAGGTGTCTTTTCACTTCAGCATTTTATTAAGACAAAAGCCTATGAAATATTTTCAGTTCCTTACTTTTTTTTTTCAAATTCCCTTCAGTGTTCCTTGTTTATCTAGAAAAAAATATGTACTGTAAATAAATGTTCTTTCCACCATGATCTCTGTCTATTGATATGAAATATAAAAGCTGAAATGAAATTTTAATATTTTTAAAATCTAGTGAAAGTTTAGCATTTGATAAGTAACAATGTAATATGTATTAACATGGGTTCAAATATACAAAACTGTATTATTTCATAATATATCACCTTTATTTTTCATAAAAAGTAACAAAAGTAAGGCCTAGAGAAATCTCCGAACATCTATCATATTCTTTTCAAATTCCCACTTTTTTTTCATACTAATAAAAATTGAAGGGAAAAAAGAATCATAAGAAATGATTAAGAAAAAGAGCTGGAGAAAACTTACCTGTCATGCTTGATGATGAATCTGCACTGGTCCGTCTACTCCTCCGAACATGATTTGAGTTGGAGCCTCTGGCTCAATATTAAGTCAATTAGCTATGTGGTACAACAAACTCAAAACTAGGAGTCATGCTTGGTCTCTTTTTCCTTTCCTCTTATTTTCCCAGTGATGTCTTCTGAGATATGACAGGCCCAGGAGAAAAGGGAATTGTGTACTAATTGAACTACATAAAAGACAAATAACTTATTTCAAAATATAGAGATGTAAATATACACATAAACAAATACACTTTGATTTGAACATTTAATTTAATCAATATGTAGTATCTTTGGCTAACGTTCATTAAAAATGAAGTTACAGACTGCCATTCCAGTTGGTATAATTCTAGGAAAGTGTTTCTGAAATGATGTTTAGTCATATTCTCCCACAAAACCAGTCTTTTTCTGTCAGAATTTGTATCTTACTAATGTTTATTTGCCCAAGATCAGTGCAAAGTTGGATAAAAATATTTGAAGTGGAGACACCAAAATGCTTTTGCAGACTAGAGGCAGTGTATAATGCTACATGATTCACTGTTCTAGAGCTTATCCAGCAGAACAGTGAAAGGATGGTAATGCTAACAGTGACCAATTAAACATATGAAAATATTAAATGTACTTTTAAATTGCTAATGAAGTCATGAGTACTATTCACTCCCAATTTTAAAATCTCCAATTTTATCATGTAAACTAGCCAAAAAATTAAGCCAGATATACAAAACTTCAGTTGGCATTTCCTTTAGAAGACTATATATATTTCTTCTATCTCATGAAGACTTTTATATTTAGATTGATTGTGACTGAGAATACGAACTACTAAAAATCTAGGATTCCTATCTCACAAGCCTGCATTTCCAGGAGGAAAGTCCTCAATATACATGCTGATGCAGGGTCTGGGTAAGAAAAGGATGTGGTTAGACTAAAGATCTGGACCAATTGGAGCTAGATGAACAATATTACATACATGCAAAAGTTGCATTTATTTTCGGCGAAATACAAGTAAATAAAAACAGAAAAGCTAGCTGTTTCAGTGGTGGAAATTTTTGCTTTGTTATTGAATATTTGCTGATGTATAACTTGTCCTTCAGGTTTTTATGTCACCTATGAATTATCTACTTAATAGCTCTCTTACCAAATTACTCTGCATTTTTGAAAAAAAATTACATACATTAAAATTTATTCTTTTTGGTTTACTGGCCTATGAGTTTTAATACATGCATGGTTAGGTGTAATCACCATCATGATCAGGATGTAGACTAGTTCTGTCACCCCAAATAACTTTCCTTTCCAAGATGTAAAAACCATCTAAATGTCCTTCAATAGGTGTGTGGATATACTATGCAAGTATAAAATTTACTTTCAATTAAGTCACTTATTATCTCACCAGTACCTTCATATTTCTTGCTACCTTTTCTTTTCTACTAACCACTTTAAACAATTCTAGCCCTAGATCAATCCAGCCATCTGCCTATTCTGCTCCTGTACCTGGAGTGCAGAAGACTTCTAAAGGAAAATCCACAGCTGAGTGTACAGGTGATACTACTGCTAAAAGCCTTTAATTTTAGCTCCTAAATAGCTATTACTTTTTTCACTTTTTTCCATTTCTGCTGTCCATCTCATATTTGGACTGTGATCACATCTAACCTGGACACTGCACGATACTGCTAACTGATCTTTTTCTCTTCAGCACTGTCCAGGCCAAACATTCCTCTTCATATCTCCTCACTCTGCAGCACCCCACCTTGTAATAGTCACTGGAGTAATTTTGGAGAATGCAAAACTGACGTTTGCACTCCACTGCTTATTCTTCAATGTCTTGCCAGAACCTCTGAAGTCATAATGTTCCAGTCACGTAGCATGTCCCACCAGACTCTTTACAGTCTAATGTCTGCAATCTTTTTTAAGCCTCCTCTTTGCTGAGCATACAATACTCCAACAATACAATAATAGATTATGTGAAGTTTCTATACAGCACAATGCCACCTTGAAACTCCTAGTCTTTGTCTGTGTTATTATCTACAAGCAAAATCAGCTCCAGGCTTTCTTCAACAATATCTACCTGTCCTCCAAAATTCAGCTCAATTGTAGCTTTCTGCATATTCCCCACATTCCTCCTGCCTTAATTAAGTGCATCTCTTGTGTGTCCTGCAGCTTTTTTTTTTTTGCATTCTCTATTTGTTCTTAGAGCAACAAATAGTTATTTTTAGCTTGTTCATCTATCTATGCCAATAAATTATAAATTTTTGTTGTTGTAGAGATAATATCTTACATTTCTGTATCCCTTTTTACCTAGTAAGTGTATTAGACAAAATAAGTATTTAAATTCATATTTTTTAACTAAATCTTCAACATAAAACAATTTTAAAGTGAATAATAAATTCAAACTGTTATTCAGTTTCCATATAAGGAAATCAATATTGCACATGTAAATGTATACTTTTTGTAGATTACATTTAAAATAAGAGCTACATATATTAAGACCATATTTTTAAAATAAATCAAATTTATTTGAAAGCATCAATTAATTTTTCCCATTGATAAACATTGAATAATATAATTTCTAACTCTTAAGTTTAAAACATTATCTTTACAGATAATGGCATTTTAAAAAAATGAAATGATTTTTAGTAATCCAATTTTTCTTGATGTTGTCAATCAGGTCTTGAAGAAGACAGTCTATGCATGTTGACGATCACTTGTATGAAAGGTCTGATGATTGAAATGATTTGTATAAGTCCTAATAAATTCTGAAAAATCTAGTGAATTTTAGTTTCTTTTCTTTGACTTGTACTTTCACATTTATTTTGTTTCTGTGTCCTATATTTTATGATTTATTGATGGAAATCACTGCTTTGCTTTGCAAACTTAGTTTTCTTCAAGTTTATACCACATATAGTCAAGACGTTTTTACCATATATATATATAAATAAAATAAGGAGAGTTTTCAACGATCACATTTTCCTCAAAAACAATACTAATACGTATTGTGTTGTGAACAATCAAAGGCAGCCAGAATGCCTATTAAAATTTGATCAAGTCGCAGGTCTTTCAGACAGTTCTTTGTGTATAACTGTATCTGAAAAAGCATTTGTAAGTTCTGCAGGCTTGTTTTTGTTTTCTTGTTTATATCAGCTACTTCATGCAATATTCAAGTCTCCCAATTTCTCTTTTTAAGGTAGTCTAGCAACCAGGCTTATATCTACAAACAGCTTTACATTTTCTGCCAGCATATTTTCTGAATTATAAATCACCATTAACAAATCTGGCTTTTAGATTCTCTGAGATATTATAAGCCCCACTGCATATTCTGGTTGTTTGTTTCCTCCACATGCAGGCCACATCCTAAGAGATACTGGAAGAAAAGTTATGTTATCCCTCTCTATTCTCATTCCACACACACTTTAGCTTAACAAGCACAACATGTTTAAGAAAGAAAATATAAAATTGCCTTCATCTGTTCCCAAGCTATTTGTGAACAATCTAGAAGATATTTAAATATAAAGCAGTATTGAAAGAACTGTTTTTCTTAAAAAAGAGTAACACACATCAGCTTCAGAAAATGTGTTTTTCCATAGCATAATGTGAGAAATAGGCAAATTTGAGGATAGTAAAAAAGAAAAACACTTTCTTCCTTATTCTGAGTATGTCTTTTATGCAAAAGGGAATCTTCGTTATCTAGGGGACTATTGATGGATTCACTTAAAGGACAACCCTTCATCGGCTAACTTAATTCAACAAATGCTCTCCAAGTTAAGATGTGGAATTACATCGTGTCGCTCCAAAACATTTATTTACTTTTGATAAAAGCAGATCTAGTCATCACTGTCTTCTAATTTTTGACTATGAAATTGTAAAATTCTCCATAAGTGCAATCCTTCATTTTACTATATTTCTCCTTGCATATTTTTATATAATCAAGATTATTGTGAGGATGAATCCTCCTCATGACTAATGGTGGAGACTTAAAGGGGAAAAAAAATTAAAACTTGGCTGGTAGATTCAAGTGTTCATGTAAGTGACCAGATGAGGAAGTTTTGGGGTCATGTTGTCTGAGTTCTGCATCTGTGAGAGATGGTAAGGCCAATTATAGCAGATCCCAGATGCTATAGGCTCTATGTAGTTGCAAACGTTGCTTGCAGTACAAAAGTACCTCAAACCTTCTTTGGGACGAGGGTGAAAGTTACTTCCTTAAGCTTCTTCCCTTTTTAAACCAAAAAATATCTGAGTCATGTCTCAATCAGTTTACAAGTTTATTTTGCCAAGGTTGAGGACCATTTTCCATGACACAGCCTCAAGAGGTCCTGAGAACATGTGCCCAAGGTGGCTGGGTTACAGCTTGCTTTTGTATATTTTAGGAAGACAGAAGTTACAGGCAAAGACATAAATCAATACATGGAAGGTGTACATTGGTTCAGCCTGGAAAGGTAGCATATCTCAAATTCAGGGCTTCCAGGTCACAGGTGGATTCTCATTCTGTCTCCCAGGCTGGAGTGCAGTGGCACAATCTCAGTTCACTGCCACCTCTGCCTCCTGGGCTCAAGAATCCTCCCACCTCAACCTCCTAAGTAGCTGGGACTAAAGGTGTGCCATCATGCCAGGCTAATTTTTGAATTTTTTTGTGGAGATGGGGTTTCATCATATTGCCCAGACTGTTCTCAAACTCCTGGGCTCAAGTAATCCTCCACGGGCATCAGCCTTCCAAAGCTTTAAGATTACAGGTGGGAGCCAATGTACCCAGCCATACATTATAATTTTTTAACATTTCCAGTGCTCTTCACACATTTCTAAAGATCTATGTGTCTATCTGGCATACTTTTTCCAACCAAAAACACCTTCATTTGCCATTTCTTACTGTAAAGTTTTGGCGAAAACAAACTCTCTTAGCTTTTTTTCTCTGAATTTAATTTTTGTAGATTTTTTTTCCTTTCAGTCTTTTAGAGTTATTTCACTATCTACTGTCCTTCATAGTTTCTTATGAGAAAGTAGCTATTAATCAAATATTTGTTCCTTCATATGTATGGCCTTTCTTTCTTTCTTTTCTTTCTTTCTTTATTTTTCTTTCTTTTCTTTCTCTTGTTTGTTTACATTTTAAATTTAGATTTGCTTATCTTTGGCTTTAAACAGTTGGACTATGATATACCTTGGCATGGATTTCTTTGTTTTATTTTTCTTGGTGTTTGCTGAGCCTCTTGGATTTCTAAAACTTATGTGTTATATCATATTTTAAGAAAATCCACCCTTATTTCTTTAAATATTGTTTCTTTTTCCCATTTTCTCTCTCTATTCATGGAACTCTAAGTGCATGTATTCTAGACTGATATTATCTAACAGGTCTCTGAGTTTATGCTCACTTATTTCCTCTTTTTTTTTTTCTTTATGTGTAACAACATCTTGTTATCTACCCTCAAGTTCTCTTCATCTTGTCTTCCTTTCTTTCTTATTTTCATTATTTTGTTAAGGCTTTTTTTTTCCTTTTGAGAATATTTTCTATTTTCTTGCCTGTTTGTTGGATAATGCTGGATTGTATGACGGACATTAAAAATATGTGGGCATTTGATATTTTATTATCTTTAAATAATGTCGGTTATATTGTTTGGACAGGAAAGGGGCAGCTCAAATCTCAGTTCAGATTCTTTCTCTTTAGCTGACCTCTTTTGTCTGCATCACACATACATAGGTCATAGATTAGTCATAAATATGGGTAGAGAGAATTATGGACCCCATTTTTGGCTCTTTCCCTTCTAGAATTTCACCGCTGTCTTTTTTTTTTTTTTTTTTTTAGTGGAGTTTCACTCTTGTTGCCCAGGCTAGAGTGTAGTGGTGTGATCTAGGCAGGTTCAAGTGATTCTCCTGCCTGACTCCAGAGTAGCTGGGATTACAGGCACCTGCCACCACGCCTGGCTGATTTTTATATTTTTAGTAGAGACGGGGTTTCACCATGTTGGCCAGGCTGGTCTCGAACTCCTGACCTCAGGTGATCCGCCTGCCTTGGCCTCCCAAAGTCCTGAGATTACAGGCGTGAGCCACCGCACCCGGCCTCACCATTGTCTTGCCACTGTAGTTTCTTCACCTCCAGTTTTCTTGTTCCATAGACCAGAAAGACATATTTATTCACTGGTGTCCTACACAGACCTACAACCCATGACAGCTCTGTCTGTCCTCAGGCTAGAAGACAAAAAATGAGAATTCACTTCATAAAATTTTTCTTTTCAAAGCATAGACTCTCAACCAGGTTGACCTGCTCCTGCTCACTTTTCAAGGAATTTTTGGTAACTCTTCTGTGTATTGTGTCCAAAGTTTATAAGTACTATCAATAAGAGGACCAATCTCATAAGAACTTAATGTGTTATTACCAGAAGATAATGACATATTTATTTTGTAATTTCTCTTTTAATATAACACTAAAAATGATGTGAATCTCTCTCTCAATTGATAATGACCCATTTCTCCACATCTCACTATGATATGGCTTTCCTTGATCACATGACATTCATTGATTTCGTCATTAGTCTAATAAGTGAGAACTGCAAGAAGATAGATTTTAACTAAATATATTTTATACCTACAAAAGATTCTATACTCTCAAAATATAAAATGAACTGCCTTGGAAGGTATTATGTTTATTCATACCTGTATTATTCAAAAACATTTACTGAGTGTGTATTATGAGGATGACACAGTGTTTAAGCAGAAATTAACCTTAAAATGTGAAAATATACATAGGATACATTTGATTATCAACAATATAATCTAACAAGGCACTCTATTATCTATAACCAATCCTGAAAATTTGTAAATGAAAGAAAAATCAAGTTAAAACTCCACAGTTCTCCAAGATTTTTCATTCATTATAAGTAATCTTGGCCAAACATTGAGGTGCTAGTCCTTTACAACACTTATAAAAATCAGCCTCATTCATGGATTTTGTGAAGTTTGTTGAAATACTGTAATAGTGAGAGATTGGTTTACATCTAGGGTGATATTTGCTGGGTCTGGAAAGTTAAAGTGAGAATGATCTGATTGGTTAATTTCTATGACATGGATCTGAACTAAAATAAGATGCATACTTAATGATAGAAACTTATGATATAATGCCCTTATCTAAACATTATGTGCCAAGTGCCTTTAACATTCTGTGATATTTTAATTTTGTATAATTTGTATGAAAAATACGTTGGACATAAGAATGTTATATATATATATATATATATATATATATATATATATACATACATAAATACACACACACACATATACGTATATGTTTGCTTATGTTATTTGTTAATGAGTACTTTTACCTACACATAATAGAGAATGCACTACCTCAGTGTTTTCTATGTTTTATAAATCATATTCAATTATAAGAAGAATGGTTTTAGTAAAAAAATCAACATAACGATTGAGGTTCTATGATTAAAATGTGATCAAGTTAGCAATTAGTCCTTAAACATAAGCTAACATACACAAAAATAAAACAAATAATAGACTTTAGAATATTTTTGTTACAATGTTCTTAACATGCTTAGTATAAACATTTTAAAAAATGAAGAATATGATGTAAAATGTAAATATATATTTCCCTTATTCTAAATTGCACTTCCTAGATAAAACCACTACTAGCAATATTGTTGTATATTATTATGGACTCTTTTGATATATAAAGTCATATTTGTTTTAAAGAAAAATAATTCAGTTTATAGTTTTTTATTAGTTATTAATTCAGTAATATTTATCTAGTCTGTTTTAATATCAATTTATTTTAATTGTGGCATGGTATTTTTTTTCTTTTTACTTCTAATTTTTTCCCTTTTAGAGCAATGTTTAGTAAATATAACTGCATATTTACCTTTGCATATTTATGCATTTCTGTAGAAATGCTACAGCAAAGTATAAATGTTTTAAACATTTTGATACATAGTGCCAAGTTTTACTTCCAAATATTCTATTAAATTACTTCCCCACAAAGTGTGCATGCTAAATACATTAACTCACAGAATTTTAGAAACATAAGCTATTATCAGTTCATTTAAAATCTCCTAACTTATAGATGAAATGATATCTTAGATGAGATTGGGTGCATTTGATTTGGGGTGGTAAGGCCATAGACCAAACTTGTTATTTCATTGTAATTTTGTGTGCGTGTGTGTATGTGTTCGTTTTTATTTATTTTTTTATTTCAATAGTTTTTGGGGCACAGATGTTGTTTGCTTACATAGATAAGTTCCTTAGTGGTGATTTCTGAGAGTTTGATGCACCCATCATCTAAGCAGTGTACACTGTACCTAATATGTAGTCTTTTATCCCTCGCCCGCTCCTACCCTTGCCCCCAAGTACCAAAAGTTCATAATATCATTCTAATGCCCTTGCATCCTCATAGCTTAGCTCCCACTTGTGACTGAAATCATAGGATATTTGTTTTTCCATTCCTGAGTTACTACACTTAGAATAGTGGTCTCCAACTCCATCCAGGTTGCTGTGAATGCCATTATTTCATTTATTTTTATGGCAAAGTAGTATTCCATGGTGCATATGTATACCACATTTCCTTTATCCACTTGCTAGTTGATGGGCATTTAGGCTGGTTCCATATTTTTGCAATTGCAAATTGTGCTGCTATAAACATGTGGATACAAGTGTCTTTTTCATATAATCACTTTTTTTCTTCTGGGTAGATACACAGTAGTGGGGTTGCTGGATCAAATGGCAGTTCTACTTTTAGTTCTTTAAGGAATCCCCATACTGTTTTCTGTAGTGGCTGTACTAGTTTACATTCCCACCAGTATTGTAAAAGTATTCCCTTTTAATCACATCCATGCCAACAGCTATTATTTTTTTATTTTTAAATTATGGCCATTATTGCAGGTGTAAGGTGATATCTTATGGTGCTTTTGATTTGCATTTACTGATCATTAGTGATGTTCAGCAATTTTTATATGTTTGTTGGCCATTTGTATGTCTTCTTTTGAGAAATCCCTATTCATGCTCTTTGCCCAATTTTGAAGGGGTTATTTGGTTTTTTCTTGCTGATTTGTTTGAGTTCCTTTTAGATTCTGGATATTAGTACTTCGTTGCATAATTTGTGAATATACTCCCCCCCTCTGTGGGATGTTTGTATACTCTGCTGATCATTTATTTTGCTGTACATAAGCTTTTTAGTTTAATCAATTCTCATCTATTTATCTTTGCTTTTGTTGCATTTGCTTTTGGGTTCTTCGTCATAAATTCTCTTCATAAGCCAACGTCTAGAAGAGTTTTTCTGATGTTGTCTTCTAGAACTTTTATGGCTTCAGGTCTTAGATTTAAGTCTTTTATCCATCTCTAGTTGATTTTTGCATAAGGTGAGAGAGGAGGATCCAGTTTCATTCTTCTACATGTGGTTTGACAATTATCCCAGCACCATTTGTTGAATAGGGTGCCCTTTCCCCACTTTATGTTTTTGTTTGCTTTGTCAAAGATCAGTTGGCTATTAGTATTTGGCTTTATTTCTGGGTTCCCTATTCTGTTTTAATTGTCTATGTGCCTGTTTTTATACCAGTACCTTGCTGTTTTGGTAACTATAGCCTTATAGTATAGTTTGAAGTCACATAATGTCATGCCTCCAGATTTGTTCTTTTTACTTAGTCTTGCTGTTGTCATACAGGCTTTTTTTGTTCCATATTAACTTTAGGATTTTTTTTTTAGTTCTGTGAAGAATGCTGGTGGTATTTTGATGGGAACTGCATTGAATTTGGGTATTACTTTCGGCAGTATGTTTATTTTCACAATATTGATTGTACCCATCCATAAGTGTGGGATGTGTTTCTATTTGTTTGTGTTGTCTATGATTTCTTTCAGCAGTGCTTTGTAGTTTTCCTCGTAGAGGTCTTTCCTGCCTGGGTTAGGTATATTTCTAAGTATTTATTTATTTTTTTTAGCTGTCATAAAAGTGATTGAGTTCTTGATTTGATTCTCAGCGTGGTCACTGTTGGTGTATAGCAGTGCTACTGATTTGTGTACATTTATATTGTATCCTTGGCCCAGGCTACATACTTCCCTGCTGATAAAGCAAGCAAGTTTCTAGGCCTCACCCCTTCCAGCCTGCCCACATTTTCAGCCACAGCTCCTGCACTCCTTTCGGTAGCAGTTCTTGTTCACCCCTTGGATTCTGCTCAAAAGAGTTTGCACCTTGTTGAATTTATTACAAAATTTAGTTGGAAACTTCTTTCACCCTGTAACCATTTCCAAATTCCATCGGCTGCCTTCCCCAAAGATACTTGTGAGATATAGTCAGAGATGGCTTCCCTGGGCTCAAGCTGGAAATGGGAGTGCCTACAGGGCTCTTCTTGCTGTTGCTTCTACTTTCATATTTCACACTAAATCCATTTCAGCTTTAGGTAAGGTTAAATCCTCCTGTAATCTGGATTTTCAGGTTCCCGGTGGGGATGTGTTTTGGAGGTAGGTTTTCCCCCTTTTACAGTTTGGGAACTCAAAGTTTTTTGCCTGTCTCACAGAATTTTCAGCAGTGTGCCACTTCTTTCAAAGGATCTGTGAATGCATTGTATGTTTTTAAGCATTCAATATATTATGAATATTTTATATTAATTGAGTAGCTGTATTTCTTCTGTGAATTGCATGTTTATATCTTTTTCCCATTTCCAGATTTTTGGTTTTTATTTTTTTCTCTTTTTTTTGAGACAGGGTCTTGCTCTGTCACCTAGGCTGGAGTGGAGTGGTGAGGTCGTGCTCATAGCTCACTGCAGCCTCAACCTCCTTAGCTGAAGCAATCCTCTCACCTCGGCTTCCCAAGCAGCTGGGACTACAGGCAAGTGCCACTTCACCTGGATAATTTTATTTATTTATTTATTGTTGAGACAGGGTCTCACTAAGTTGCCCAGGCTGGTCTTGAACTTCTGGGCTCAAGCAATCCTCCCGCCTTCGGCCTCCCAAAGTGTTAGAATTACAGGCATGAGCCACGACACCTGGCCTATTATTAATTTTTATAGATTTATGTAAGCAAGGATGTTACCCATTTCTCTATTATTTACATGATATTATCTATTTTTGAATTTATGTTTTTATTTTTTGTTTACTTTCCGTACATTTTAAGCTTTAATAATCATCCAATCTATCAATTTTTTAAAAATAATTTCTGAGTGCTATATCATGGTGAGAAAGGTATTCTCCAATCTATCATTATTGGAAAAAAATTGACCATATTTTCTGCAATTGCTTTTATGACATCAGTTTTATATTTATATGTTTAATCTATATCAATTAAATTTTGTTTAATTGTGGTGAGTAAGTATAGTGGGCAGTATGGCTCCTCCTAAGATGCCCATGCCACAATCCCTGGAACCTATTATTATGTTAGGTTATATGGCAGAAAGGATTTTGCAGATGTAATTAACGTTACAAACCTTAGGATAGGAAAAGTGTCTGGATCATTAGATAGGGCCAATCTACCATCCAGGAGGTAGGGATGGCCCCCATCAGGCAGCCAGCAAGAAAATTCTACCTCAGTCCTAAAGGGGCAAGAAACTATATTCTGCCACTTATCTGAATGTGCTTGGAAGCAAATAATTCCCAGGGACTCCCATTAAGATCCCAGCAGGCTAACACCTTGATTTCTCTGTTGTAAGACCCAAAGCTGTTAACCTAGCTGAGCCTGCCAGATTTCTGATCTAAAGAAATAAAGAAATGTGAGATAAAACATAGATGTTGTTTTGAGCTACTAAATTTGTAGTGATTTCTTATGGCAACAATGAAAATTAAGATGATATGTTTAATTTTTTTCTTATCCATATAGAGAAAAAAAAATCCCAAAACTGCATTAATTAGGGTTTCCCTGTTTTATTTTAAATGTGATGTATTACACTTTTTGATGGAAAAGAAAACTTCAGCCAAAGCCATCTTGAAGTAAGATGTGAAGTTAAGTTCTGAGCCCACATACTGAATATAATTATGAAATGATAGTAAAGGAATTGTGACTGGAAAGTAATGTCTATATAATATTCATACATCTTTTTGTTCTTTTGTCATCAGTGCATATAAAATCCTTCACACCTGATCCCGCAGATGCTTAATAGGCAAGCAACTCTCCCCAACTGAAGCGATGCTGTACAAAACAGAAGGGCTAACACAAATCAGGGTTTGAAGTGTATTGAAGTAAAATCTATTCTCCAATTAACAAGCAATGTTGCGTTTAACTACATAAATGAATTATAAAATTGGGGAAAATTATTTTGACAAACATTCTGAGAAGGATGTATTTGTAGACACTTGGGAAATCATCATGCCATTTTTAGGCTGAAGAAAATGACTGATTTATGTGGATTGTATAACCATTATTTTTTGTATAAAACAAAATAATCTAGAAATAATTTTTGCTCAAATAGAAACAATAATGATGTCACTAATAAAATGTTCGTAAGTTGTGTCTTAGAAACCAAATATTTCAATCTTTGATACATATTAAGCAAATGATTTCTTTAAACCATAGAGTCATTGAAAATTTAATGAGTGTCATGAAATTCCAACCTTACACATGTCAAATAGTTTTGTGGAATAAGAAGTAGAAATGAGTAATTAAATACATGCATATAAACTAGGTCACCCTCTCATAAGACCTGATCTTTATAGGCTGACAATTGTATATAAGAATATGAATATACTGGTAGAATTCTGATTCAAGTTTTAATTAATTTCTGTGTATCTCATACACTCTTTCCAATTTAAAGCATTCATGTCCTATTAATTCAGGTACATTGCCTCTTCAGAGTGCTCAAATAGACTTTGCTGAATAAATACTTATTATAAAGAAAAGCTTTTCAACCCACCCACTTATTGTCATAAAGGCAGAAATAGTTATTTAACTGGATTTGCCTTTTTTAACCAATTATGTTTTGTAAAAGTTATGAACATATACCGTAATTTTACTTTTATTATTTGTTTGCCAATGCCATTGTAGTTGAACATCTTTCTTGTCTCCTTCAAAAGTGAGATGTGAAATTTCTCTCAACTTGAGATTAAAGGCATCAAACTAACCTGATGTTTAAAGATTTCTTTCATTTGGATTTGAACAAAGTCTGTTCTATTCCTTAAAAAAGAATTCTCAATGATGCCAAACCTTTTTCTGTATTCAAACTTGTGCTGAGGATGACATTGGTTCTGTGAAATAAATTCCCAGCTTTCATATATGACAGCTAGTTTAACGCAGAGCAAAACAACTACCATCATTCATATTTTGTTCCTAAGTGTAGTGGTAAAAATGTTCAGTGACAAAACCATATTAGAGAAATATACAATTTTATTGATGGATATTACAGAGGATATTAAAGAAATATATGCATCTATTTCTCACCTAAAATTAGACCTTTTTTTAAAAACTTACTTTGTTTCATTTTACCTAATTCTCATATACTCTTATTAATAACTCAGACACTTTTCATGCATAAAAAAATCCATTTAATTTCTAAATGAAGGGAAGAACAGTTAAAAGAGTAGTCAAACATGGCAGGATATTGTTAAAAAGCTATCATATTTTCAGATACATCTGCCACTGTCGAGGGAGCAATGTCCTGCAAGATAAGCAAATTACTAAAGGTATGTGATAACCAGCAAAAAGAGACATTTAAAATGAAATTTTTAATTAGTTTTATAGACAGAGCTAAGTCACTTTCTCTCATATGAAGTAGATTTTAAAACATAATTATCCATGAAAATATGATTATTTAAAAATATTTTATGCACTTTCTTAATCATCTCCAAATATTTTATTACTTTTCCATGAATATTCTATGAAGTACTAAAGAATATTGCAATGTAGAGATCTTTCAAAAGTCTGAGGCTCACAAATATATTGTAATGCATAAGATTTAACTGAGAGAAAGCAGAAGCAAAATTATAATATTTGTATAGTTAACACAATATTTCAAAATATATTAATTATATTTTAAGTTATATAAATGGAAAAAGGAATATTTTTGTATTTGAACATCTTAAGAGCTGCTTAAAATTATTCCCTCAAAAGCATAGATTTAAACATTTTATTCTGCCACTGATTAATCTTTAATGATATCTCAGTTATGACCAACAGTAACAGAAGAGCTATTTTAACAGATTCTACAGTAAACTCGGCAATGCTTGTAGGCTGGAAGTATGCAGCTCAGCCTTCATGGCTTATAGACTATTGCATTGTGGCTACAGCAAAATTAGTATCTGCTTCCTAATGTGCCTACCTCTGTTGTTTAGACAACACTGATGAATTTGCTTCATCTGCAGAGCCTAAAAAGATAATTAAGTCTTTTCTGTCCCTAGTGTCTCAGTGAAGTAATTCTGTCAGTATAGGATTATACTTCTTTTTACTGTTACAGAATTGCATGTTTACACTTAATCTTAAATGACAGGCTGAGCAGAAAGTTAGAAAACAGAGGAAGGTTGGTGAGATTGTGTAGAATTGCTGGAATTCATTAGACATCGAGGCTTCACAATTTATATTTTGCTGTAAATTACGAATTTGTGCATTTGTCTCATCATGTTATAAGTCAAGATTGGACTCAAAACAGAATCACGGGAAAGAAAAATGTCTAAGTATCAAAAATATAACCTATCAGTGTTAGGGCATTATTACTAACTGCAGTGAAACATATGGTTTTTATAAGATAACTGTGTTAAACATGCTATGTGCAACTTAAGTCTTTAACAAGGTCTCCTTATCTTTTACTCCACCTATCCTGTATTCTCTCTTGGAGCTCTGATGAATGAAAAAGAGATTTATTAATATATACATTAACATTAATGCACAGCTAACTCAGTCATTAGTGTCATAGCTCAGGTTTTTGAAGAATTCAAGTGTAGCATCTTATCATGTTACCCAAATGAAGAGTAGAACAGAGCTATGCCAGCAGCAATTCTGATTATTTGGCTGTAAGAGTAGTTTTGTCACACATCTTTTGAAAGGTACTTAAAATGGTAAACCAACCTTTTCATCAATATCAAACTTTCATGGATAGCATATTGTTTTGTAAGTTACCTTTTCCTGGTTTGATAATTAGAAAATGCTATTGAAGGTATACTTTTCCTTAGAATAATCACATTTGGCATAGATTATCTTCCTGTCATTTCTTGAAAAGATTGACATGCCCTAATTTTACAAATAAAATTGTTTCATGTGTAATTCCAAAAGCTTTTACAATATAGCATAATTAAATAATAATTAGCTTATTGGTAATATGATCTTGATAAAAATATTTACATCAGTATAAAATGTGTAGACCTTGCAATAGAACTAAGACTTAGAAAATGCGTTTTAAATTGGTGCTTATCTTTGTGCTTATTGAAACACTTATAAACTGATATGCAGTTAGCACCTGATAGTCTTCTACAGCAAATTTAAATTTCACATTTTCACAGATATAAACTGATTAGAAGGAATGTTAAGCTAGATCAGAATTTCTGTAAAGCAAGATAAGTATATATGGATATGTGTGTATAAATATTATATCTCTATAGGATTTATTATATTTGTAAATGTATCTCTTTGTCAATAAATTGAGGATATTAAGTACCTACTATATGCTAAGCACTGTTCTGATACAAAGGACATATTAGGATCAAAGATGCAAATTCCCCAGCCTCATGGAGCTTAAATTTTAGTGGCAATGTCAGAAAATAACCAAACAAATATATAGTATCATATCAGGTAGTGATAAGTCATATAAAACAATTAACTAAAAGGAATAAGTAAAGAATAAAAATGGCCATATTGTAGATAGGAAGTCTGTAGAAGGCTTCTATGAAGAGGTAATATTTGTATAGAGACTTCAGTAAAGTGAGGAAATTATACATAAGATAAAACAAATAAGAAACCAACCTACCACAGGGTTAGCCTGCACAATTCATGTTAATCTGCTTTGTCCATGATGGTTGATATGTATATAAGTGATGTCAAATATTTTATTCCTTTAGGAGGTTTAACTATTGTCTCTGCAATCTTGTTTGTGTATTCAAATTGTTGTAGGTTCTTTGTAATGATTAACAGAAGTCAAAAGAGAAGAAAAAGAAAACAAAATACAACCTAACATGTAATTAAATACTGTTTTCATTTAAATGCTTTTTATTTATCCTATATCAGATTATGGAAGCTTAAAGGAACCTTCAGGAATTTAGAGATTATTCTCTAGTCCACTCCCCCTCCTTTCATAGATGGTAGCTCAGGTAAATATGCGTGGTGTGTGTGTGTGTGTGTATGTGTGTGTGTGTGTGTGTGCTTGCCCATGTTTGAAAAAGAATACTACTTATTCTGGTCAATCTTTCCTTTTGATACTGCACATCATGAAGTTTATCTTAGTTCGCAGAATTGCTCTGAAATATAATTCAGTTTCTGTTTGTGGTTCTACAACGTTCCCACACTAATTAAAGAATAATCTCTTTTAGCAAAAGCCCAAACCTCCTTACTGTGATGAGTGCTTATTGGAAGCAGCATGTTATCTTTCACTCGGATAAATTGAATCCTTTGTCTAAATGGTAGATATCCATGTTATAAGATCAGAAGTCGGCTTTCAAAGGGATTTTCAATTTACTTTTAATTGTTGTGGGTACACATCAGGCATATATATTTATGGGGTACATGAGATGTTTTGATAGAAGCATGCAATGTGAAATAAGCATATCGTGGAGAATTTTGTTTCTTCTTATTTTCTTAGGAATATATTCTTCCTTGAGAGATGTCTCAGTTTTCCTAGTTATAAAGAGTTATTTTGTAAAAGGTTCCTATAGCATTGCCATGTGACCTCATATGATAAGCAAAATTTCTAAAATGATCTCCCAGGGATATCTCACCTTAATCCTCAGAACCTGACACAATGATGAGATGTGACTCTTTTGAAAATGTTATATTACATGGCATAGTGGATCCTAAAAAGAGAGCAGTTATCCTAAATAATTTGGTTTGCCCCATGCAATCACATGAACCCTTAAAAGAAGACAGCTTTGTCAGGCTGGTGGCAGAAAAAAAGAAAACCAGAAAGATTTAAAGTTGTAATGAGATTCAGCACACCATTTCCGGTTTGAAGAAGGAGGTGGCCACATGAGAAGAAATGTGAGCAATCTTAAGAAGCTAAGAGAGCTCCCTGGCTGGCTGCCAGCAAGAAAAAAGGACGTCCGTCATATGACCACAAGACACTGAATTTTGCCAACAACTAGAATGAATTTGGAAGTGGTTTTCCCCCAGAGCCTCCATATAAGAGCCCTTATGTAATTTTACTTTGATTTCCACCCCTTGAAATGTACACCTTAATTTCAACCATGTAATACTTTCAGCACAGAAGTAAGCTGTGCTGTACTAGACTTAGGACCTAGAGAACTGTGAGCTAATAAATATGTATTGTTTTTAGCTACTAAATTTGTAGTAATTTGTTACACAGGAAATGAAAACAAATATATTTTTCAAAGCGTAGTTGCCTTGCACCAAAATCAATATATATTCTAGAAGAAAATCAAAACAAATATTTGTTGAGGAAACACTGTGTAGTAGATGCTCTCAAGTAGAGATTTCAAATTTCCATACATAACCATATTATTTTGGTTTAGTTATGTTCAGATGGTGAGAAGCATTAATAATGCTGTAGCTGATAGAACTGTAGCCATTAATAATGGCTGTAGCTGATAGAACTATTGGGGTTGCAGTCAGAATCATTTTTTAGAAGTTATCCATTTGAAATGTACAATAATCTCTTTGGTGATACTTCTGTTTTTTAAATGTTAGCAGTTACTTTGGTTTGCTTTGCTTCTGCTAACCACTTACACTTGCTATTAGGTTAACTACTTAACTTATTGTGAAAAAGAATGGCTTCTAAAATAGAGGAGATTTAAAGTATTTATAAAGGTGGAATGCACCTAGAAACATAACTTTACCCTTGGACAATATACAGCTATTTCTAAAAATATTGGGTGAGAGGTATTTTCTGGGGTTATAGACTTCTTGCATCAACTATTTAGAGGGACTGAGTTAGATAACTTATGTTTATGAAGGTTCATTTATAATATTATTTAAATAGTTTTTGGGAAACAGGTAGTGTTTGGTTACATGGATGAGTTTTTAGTGGTGATTTCTGCGATTTTGGTGCACCCATCACCCAAGCAGTGTACACTGAACCCAATGTGTACCCTTTTATCTCTCACCCCCTCCCACCTTCCCCCCTGAGTCCACAGAGTCCATTATATCATTCTTATTCATTTGCATCCTCATAGCATAGCTCCCACTTCTAAGTGAGAACATCCTGTGTTTGGTTTATAATTATTGTGTTGCTTCAATTAGAATAATGGTCCCCAACTCCATCCCGGTTACTGTGAATGCCATTATTTCATTCCTTTTTATGGCTGAGTAGTATTCCATGGTACAAATGTATAGCACATTTTCTTTATCCACTCGTTGGTTAATGGCCATTTAGGCTGGTTCCACATTTTTGCAATTGCAAATTGTGCTGCTATAAACATGTGGGTGAAAGTGTCTTTTTCATATAATGACTTCTTTTCCTCTGGGTAGATACCCAGTAGTGGGGTTGCTGGATGAAATGGCAGTTCTACTTTCAGTTTTTTAAGGACTCTCCATACTGTTTGCCATAGTGATTGCACTAGTTTACATTCCCACCAGCAGTGTAAAAATGTTCCCTTTTCACCACATCCATGCCAACATCTGTTATTTCATTATTTTTTTAATTATGGTCATTCTTGCAGGAGTAAGGTGGTATCTCACTGTGGTTTTGATTGGCATTTCCCTGATCATTACTGATGTTGAGCATTTTTTCATTTTTTTGTTGGCCATTTGTATATCTTCTTTTGAGAAATCTCTATTCATGTTCTTTGCCCACCTTTTGATGGGATTATTTGTTTTCTGTTTTTTGTTTTTTCTTGCTGATTTATTTGAGTTCCTCAGAGATCCTGGATATTAGTCCTTTGTCAGATACATAGTTTGCAAATATATTCTTCCACTCTGTGGGTTGTCTGTTTACTCTGCTGATTATTTCTTTTGCTATGCAGAAGCTTTTTAGTTTAAGTCCCATCTATCTTTGCTTTTGTTGCATTTGTTTCTGGGTGCTTGGTCATAAACTCTTTTCCTAAGCCAATGTCTATAAAAGATTTCTGATGTTATCTTCTAGAAATTTTATGGTTTTAGGTATTTGATTTAAGTCTTTGGTCCATCTTGAGTTGATTTTTGTAAAAGGTGAGAGATGAGGATCCAATTTTGTTCTTGTACGTGTGGTTTGCCAATTATCCCAGCACCATTTGTTGAATAGGGTGTCCTTTCCCCACTTTATGTTTTTGTTTGCTTAGTCAAAGATCAGTTGGCTGTAATTATTTGGCTTTATTTCTGTGATCTTTATTCTGTTCCAATGATCTATGTGCCTGGTTTTATGCCAGTACCATGTTGTTTTGGTAACTATAGACTTGTAGTATTTTTTGAAGTTGGGTAATGTGATGCCTCCAGTTCTGTTATTATTGCTTTGTCTTGCTGTGGCTATTAAGGCTTTTTTTTTTGTCCATATGCCATATGAATTTTAGGATTGTTTTTTCTAGTTCTGTGAACAATGCTGGTGGTATTTTGATGGGAATTGCATTGAATTTGTAGATTACTTTTTGCAGTATGGTCATTTTAACAATATTGATTCTATCCGTTCATGAGTGTGGGATGTGTTTCCATTTGTCTGTGTTGTCTATGACTTATTTCAGCAGTAATTTGTAGTTTTCCTTATAGAGGTCTTTCACCTCCTTGGTTAGGAATATTCCTACATATTTTATTTTTGTTTATTTGCAGCTATATTAAAAGGGGTTGAGTTCTTCATTTGATTCTCAGCTTGGTGGCTGTTGGTATATAGCAGTGCTACTGATTTGTGTACGTTAATTTTGTATCATGAAAATTTACTGAATTCATTTAGCAGTTATAGGAGCTTTTTGGACGAGTATGATTTTCTAGGTATACAATCATATTATCAGTGACAGTTTGACTTTCTCTTTATCTATTTGTATTCCCTTTCTTTCTCTTGTCTGATTGCTCTGGCTAGGACTTCCAGTACTATGTTGAATAGCAGTGGTGAGAGTGGGCATCCTTTTCTTGTTCTAGTAGAATGGAACATTCAGTAAAATGTTGGCTGTGGGTTTGTTATAGATGGCTTTTATCACCTTAAGGTATGTCTCTTCTATTCTGATTTTGCTGAGGGTTTTAATCATAAAGGAATGCTGGATTTTGTCAAATGCTTTATCTGTGTATGTTGAAATGGTCATATGATATTTGCTTTTAATTTTGTTTGTGTTGTGTATCACATTTATTGACTTACATATGTGAAACCAAACCTGCACCCCTGGTTTAAAACCACTTGATCATGGTGGATTATCTTTTTGACATATTGTTGAGTTCAGTTAGCTAGTATTTTGTGGAGGGTATTCACATCTATATTCATCAGGAATATTGGTCTGTAGTTTTCTTTCTTTGTTATGTTCTTTCCTGGTTTTGGTATTAGGGTGATACTGGCATCATAGAATAATTTAGGGAGGAATCCCTTATTCTTTATCTTTTGGGATATTTTCAGTATGATTGCTACCAATTCTGCTTTGAATATCTGATAGAATTCAGCTGTGAATTTATCTGGTCCTGGGCTTTATTTTGTTTGCAATTTTTTATTACTGTTTCAATCTCACTACTTGTTTTTGGTCTGTTCAGAGTTTTTATTTCTTCCTGGTTTGATCTAGGAGGGTTGTATATTTCCAGGAATTTATTCATGTTCTCTAGGTTTTATAGTTTGTGCACATAAAGCTGTTCATAGTAACCTTGAATGATCTTTTATATTTCTGTGGTATTGGTTGTAATATTTCCCATTTCATTCCTAATTGAGCTTATTTGTATCTTCTCTATTTTTTCTTGGTCAGTGTAGCTAACGGCCTATTGACATTGTCTATCTTTTCAAAGAACTAGCTTTTCGTTTTGTCTTTTGCATTTTTAAATTAATTTCAACTTCATTTAGTTCTGCTCTTAGCTTTGTTATTGTCTTCTGCTGGGTTTGAGTTTATTTTGTTCTTGTTTCTCTAGTTCCTTGAAGTGTGATCTTAAATTGTCTATTTGTGTTCTTTCAGACTTTTTGTTGGAAACATTTAATGCTATGAACTTTCCTCTTAGTACTGCTTTTGCTCTATCCCAGAAGTTTTGATAAGTTGTGTTACTATTATTGTTCAATTCAAAGACTTTTTAAATTTCCATCTTGATTTTACTGTTTACCCAATGATCATTCGGGAGCAGGTTACTTCATTTCCATGTATTTGTAGGGGAATGTTTCCTTTTGGAGTTAATTTCCAATTTTATTCCACTGTGATCTGAAAGAGGACTTGATATAATTTTGATTTTCTTCAATTTCTTGAGCCTTGTTTTATGTCCTATCATATGTCCTATCTTGGAGAATGTTCCATTTTCTGATGAAAAGAATGGATATTCTGCAGTTGTTGGGGAGAATGTTCTGTAAATATCTGTTGTGTCCATTTATTCAAAGGTATCGTTTAAGTCCATTTATTATTTGTTGACTTTCTCTCTTGATGACCTGTCTAGTGCTGTCAGTGCAGTACTGAAGTCCTCCACTCTTATTGTGTTGCCTTCTATCTCATTCCTTAGGTCTAGTAGTAATGCTTTTATAAATTTGGGAACTCCAGTGTTTGGTGCATAAATATTTAAGATTGTGATATTTTCCTGTTGGACTAGTTATTTTATTATTATACAATGTCCCTCTTTGTCTTTTTTAACTGTTGTTGCATTAAAGTTTATTTTGTCTGATATAAAAATAAATACTCCTCACTTTTGGTGTCATTTGCATGGAATATCTTTTTCCACCTCTTTAATTTTATGTGAGTCCTTATGTGTTAGATTATTCTCTTGAAGAAAGCAAATACTTGGTTGGTGTATTTTTATCCATTCTTCCATTCTGTATCTTTTAAGTGGCACATTTAGGCCATTTACATTCAATGTTAGTATTGAGATGGGAGGTACTGTTGTATTCATCATGCCAGTTGTTGCCTGAATACCTTGGTTTTTTTTTTATTGTGTTATTGTTTTAGAGGCCCTGTGAGATTTATTCCTTAAGGAGGTACTATTTCGGTGTATTTAGAAGTTTTGTTTCAAGATTTGAACTCATTTTAGCATTTCTTGTAGTGCTGGCTTGGTAGTGGCAAATTCTCTCAGCATTTATTTGTCTTAAAAAGGCTTTATCTCTCCTTCATTTATAAAGCTCAGTTTCATTGAATACAAACTTTTTGGCTGATAAATATTTTGTTTGAAGGTCTAAGATAAGACCCCAATCCTTTCTGGCTTGTAGTGTTCTGCTGAGAAATTTGCTATTAATCTTATCAGTTTTACTTTATAGGTTACCTCATGCTTTTGCCTCATAGCTCTTAAGATTCTTTCTTTTGTCTTGACTAGATAACCTGATGACTATGTGTCTAGATGATTATCTTTTTTGAGATGAATTTCCCAGGTGTTCTTTGTCCTTCTTGTATTTGGATGTCTAGATTTCTAGCAAGACCAGGGAAGTTTTCCTCAATTATTTCCTGAAATATATTTCTCAAACTTTTAAGATTTCTCTTCTTTCTCAAGAACAGCAATTATTCATATGTTTAGTTATTTAGCATAATCCCATACTTCTTGTGGGCTTTATTTTTAAATTCTTTTTCCTTTTCTTTGTTTGATTAATTTGAAAGCCTTGTCTTTGAGCTCTGAAGTTCCTTCTTCTCCTTTTTTGATTCTGTTGTTAAAACTTTCCAATGTATTTTGCATTTCTCTAAGTATATCTTTCATTTCCAGAAGTTGTGATTGTCTTTTCTTCATGATATCTATTTCTCTGGAGACTTTTTAAAATGCATATCCTATATTTTTTAATGTATTTAACTTCATTTTCACCTTTCTCTGGTACCTGCTTGAGTAGCTTAATAATTAACCTTCTGAATTCTTTATCTGGCATTTCAGAGTTTTATTCTTGGTTTGGATCCATTGCTGGAGAGCCGGAGTGATCTTTTGGGAGCGTTATAGAAACTTGTTTTTTCATATTACCAGAATTACTTTTTTGATTCCTTCTCATGTGGGTAGAGTGTTTCAGTGGAAGGATCTGGAAATCAAGGGCTGCTGTTCATATTCTTTTGTCACGTGAGACACATTTTGTCACATGGCTTGAGCTGGGGACCTGGAGTGCCTACAGGGCTCTTCCCACTGCTTCTTCTACTTTTTATATTTCTCTCAGCTCCCTAAAACAATTTCAGTTCTAGGTAAGGTTGAATCCTTCTGCTGTGATCTAGATTTTCAGGTTGCCCAGTGGGGATGTGTGTTCAGAGGCACACTTTTTCCCCTTCACACTTTAGGAACTCACAGTTTTTTGTGATGTGATGTGATGTTGTGCTATCCCTGTTCCCCTAAGTATGGGGCTTCCTGAGATCCCGACTGCAGTGATTGGTAATGCCCTTCCATGTCTAGCTACTTTGCAGGGCTAGCAGGCTCCAGGATGTTGCTGGGGAATGTTTGCAGAGTCCTGTGATGTGATTCATCTTTAGGTTTCCCAGCCTTGGATACCAGCCCCTGCTCCAATGGAGGTGGCAGGGGAATGAGGTTGACTCTGTGGGAGTCCTTGGTTGTAGTTTTGTTTAATGCACTGGTTTTCTCAGATGTTGGTTATGCTAACAGTGAATTTTTCATGTGACAGACTCAGGTCCTCTGGTTAGCTAGGGTGTTATAGGTGGTGGAATTGGCTGTTGTTTTCTTTTTTGATGGAGCACGATATAGTCTTGTTATGAGTTGCTATAATGGCTTGAGTTGGTTGGCCTCCAGCCAGGAGGTGGTGCTTTCAAGAGAGCTCAAGCTGCAGTAGCAGAAGGGAGATATAAGCTTGCCCTATGTTGCCTATGATAAGTATTCTAGTTTCTCAGAAAATGGGTGGTGCTACAGAGCTCCCCACAGTTCATGTCTTTTATCTTCAGCTACCAGGGTAGGGAGAGAAAAACCATCTGGTGGGGGCTGGGTTAGGTGTGTCTGAGCTCAGGCTTTTCTTGGGCAGGCCTTGCTATGGCCACTACAGAGGATGGGGGTATGGTTCTCAGGCCAATGGAGATATGTTCCCATTTGGATTATGGCTGCCACTGTGGCATCATACAGGTTGCCAGGGAAGTGGGCGAATGCCAGCAGTGACAGGCCTCAACCAGGTCCCATGCAGCCAGCAAGGCCATTCTCACTCCCACTGTGCCCCACCAGCAGCACCAAGTTTATATTCAGGTTATACCCAGGCCGCTGGTGAAAAGGGCTAACATCTTGCCACAGGCTACAAGCCTCCCAGCTAATACAGCAAGCAGGGCTCTCAGGCCTCACCCCTCCTTGCCTGCCTGCACCATGGGTGCAGCTTTTGCACTTGTGTCTGCACTTCTCATTTTCCCCACACCCCCATGCCCCAGGATTCTGCCCAAAAAAATTCATGCTCTGTCAAAATTATTACAAAGTTCAGCTAGAAGTTTCTTTAATTCTGAGGCCTTTCCCCAATTCCACTGGCTGCCCTCCCCAAGGGCCCGTGTGAGATAAAACCAGGAATGGTTCCCTGGGCTTGAGCTGGGGACCTGGAGTGCCCACAGGGCTCTTCCCACTGCTTCTTCTACTTTTATATTTCTCTCAGCTCCCTAAAACAATTTCAGTTCTAGGTAAGGTTGAATCTTTCTGCTGTGATCTAGATTTTCAGGTTCCCCAGTGGGGATGTGTGTTCAGAGGCACACTTTTTCCCCCTCACGCTTTGGGAACTCACAGTTTTTTGGCTGTCACATGGAGTTTGCAGTGGCAAACCACTTCTTTCAAAGGGTCTGTGAATTCTTTCCTGATGGTTAATATTTTTTATTAACACAGGCTGGTTAGGCTTAGTAACATCCTTAATATAGGTCAATCAAAGGAGTGGTCAAGTTTTTGTTATGAAAATAGTAACATAGCTCTGTGGAATGCAGACTGGAGGGAAAGAAAGAAATTATTAGCAGAAAAACTATTTATAAAGTTGCTTTAATAGTTTATAAGAAAAAGACATTAAGGCCTAAACAAGGAAAATGACAGTGTCACTTGAAAGGAGAGGTATCATTAGACATATTTCAGATTTTACCCAGACCACTTGATAATCAATTAGATAAGAAATTAAGGAGCATGAAAACTAACTTGGAATATTATTTTTAAAATAAACAGAAATAAAGTGTGTAAAGAAGCTTGCCTGGCATATAGTAGCACTTCAGTTAGTCCCAGTAATTATAATAATAACTATATTAATAAAATAAATAAAACTATTATATTTATTGGTGGTAGAATGACATGAAGTAAAGAGAAGAAGACATAAAATCTATCCTTAAACATTTTGGAGGCTGTTACCTTTGCCATATAAATACTTGAGTCTTTGCTTAGAAACATTGCAGATTCAAGGATAGAAAAAAAACTAGTAAAAATCAGGGCATGAACAATAGTTACATCTCCTTTAATCATTTTGAACTTTCTTCCTTCTTTCTTCTTGACATTGCATCCATTATCTCTTGTTGCCCCTTTCCCTATTTTCTGCTTCTGTTCACATTTTCTTTACAACGGTTTCTAATAAAAATTGCTTATTGCTACTTAGTCACCATTATTTTTCTTTGCACAATAAAAATATTCTGAGGGCAAATTTTGAAACTTGACATTTGTCAATAATCCTCCTGCTAGGAAAAGACCAAAATTGTTTTATCATTTTTTTTTCTAAAAAAAAATCCCTTCTGTATTTAAATTATCTTATGTAGCAGGATTCAGGTCATTTTTCTACAAATGAAAACTGCAAAACAACTGATATTGCCTATCTATAATCCACAGCACAAAGTCCAGATTTTGTTCTTTTCTATATAGGCTCTCTGAAATAATGTGAAAATCTGACTTTTTTTTTTTTTGCCTTTTCTCTAAATGTTACCTCCCTTTTACCTCATCCAATGGCTACAAATATTGTTTTCCTTTTTTCTGAAAAAATCATTCTCATGAGTGCCATGCTCTTTGCACATGCTCTTTCTTTGCCTGGGAAGCCCTTCACCAACTTTTAATACAGTGCAATCTAATTCTTATCCTTCAGCTCAACTAAATTCCATTTCCTTTGAGATGCCTCCTTTCATTTCTTCAAAGAGGGAACATATATGTTGCCACAGAACTTTTGCAAATCTGTATTATAGAACTTAACACATTGTAGTTATTTGTAGACGTATTTGTCTCTTTCAGATTGAGCTACCAGAGAGAACGGGTGACATTCTAGTAATTTATATATTTCTTGAATGAAGCACTCATCAGTATGATTAAGAGATAGTAGTTTCTTAGTTAATATGTGACAGCAGAAGAAGTGAATGAATAAGTAATTTAATGAAGTCTTATGACTGACACTGTGGTAGACACTAGGTTCCCTGTGCTTTTTTTGTAGTGCATATTCTTCTTTTCTTGTCAGGCAGCATTCTTATTAAACTGAGAAGATAATCTAAAATGGCCTATAAATGCTTTCCAGAAGATCAAATAAATATTCCTATGTAAGGCCTAGGTGAAATTTATGAGGCTACAAGAATGGTGAAATGAGATCAGTCAGTCAAGTGTGGAGGAAAGTAATTACGGCTGGAAAAGATTTAAACTATTAGAGAAGACTGGATTAGAGAATATTAATATTCTAGAAAATAACAAGCTTATGACAGGAATACTATATCAGAGTCAAGAGAAAACAAAAGTATAGGTAAAGACTGAATTTATCATAGCCCAAGACAAGGAGCAGGAACTGACTTTTAGTCAACAGTATTTATTGAGTCCCTACTATGTGTGCCAAAATAAAAAATTAACTAAGTACTGGGTAACAGATAAAGAAATGATTATGAAAGCTGGCAAATAGGAAGTGAGAGATGAAACTAAAGATTTAGTTTTACTTGCACACTGACCTTGCAATTTCCCCAATGTAATTTTGTCTGATCTGAGTTGTGGCAAGATATCCTGTTTTTTGTAGTTACAGGTATTCCTGCTGAGAGTCATTTCCTGTGCTGGATTTACCATCACAGGGACCAGATTTATAGAAAAATGAACATGTATTGTTGCTAAATGGAGTTGGTCATGGAGTGGAAACTAACAATATGTTCACCTGTAAGTTTTTAAGTGCTGTGCCAAGAAAGGCTCTTTGGAGGCCATTGCCATAATCTACTGTTTACATTTGTGCATTTAGTTTCCGGGAAATATTTTTTAAACCTATCCTAGGAGCTATTCAGAACCATAGAGGCTATTTCAGTTCCCCTATCGACTGTGAAATGGAGATCTACATTCAAAATTTAGCCTGAGTTCTTTAGAATCCTAGTGCATGCAATTGTGAGCTCTAAAACAATGTGGTTATATCTGCTTTGGGAAATCTAGTATTCAAGTAGCTAAATTTAGAGTTTTTGCCATTATAGAAGAAGTGTTAACTGTGCAAAATCATTTGCTAATGAGTATCAAGCTTTCTGGGAACGTTTATATGATCTGTAACAGTAAACAAACTACACACAATTTTCAGGGTGTTACGTATATTTGCCCAAAGTGGATTATCTGTAATATCTACACTAACTTAACTACCATTTATTTTCTGATATCAGAAAATTTCAGATTTAACTTTTACTCAGGCATTTTTTCTATGAGGAAGGTTGAGCTGAAGGATAAATGAAACATAATTGCTTTATTATGTGTTACCTATCAGGCAATGTACCTTTGAGTTACTAGCACTCGCATGAGAGCAATGAAGCTGAAAACATTTTAGGGAAAATTCAAATAGGTTGGCATAGCTGGTATGTTTGGGGCTGATAAAGAGGTTGATGAAGAAGAGCTAGGAAGCACATAATGTAAGTCAAACCTGAGTTGAAGAAACAGAGATTTGTGCTCTGAGAACTTATTGGAGGACCAGCAACCTTGCTCACAGGGTTACGCCTTCAGTGCTATTGAAAGCACATACTTGGGACTTAACATCTGATAGTTAAGAAAGATAATTTGATAATAAGAAGTTTTAGTATTAAAAAATAGGCATTTTAAGCTCCTATGTTTAATGGTTCCTGGATAGAAAACCATTGCTGTTTTTTTTCCCCTCTGGATATGTAGAAATTAACTGGAAAGTTGTTTGAACAACAGTATGCTACACCTTGAATCTATTTTAGGAACATTCTTTCATGGCATATATTCACTTGATCATAAAAGGTGGTTCTCATTCAGGCAGATAAACAAAAAGCACAAAAAAGAAAATTAGATGACTGCCAATGTACATCAGACATAAATTACTGTCATTAAGAATTACTGTAAAAAGAGATCACACATTGTGTAGTTAAATATTTAATTCTTCTTGTATCCTGAGATACCAGTTAATATTCTTTCCTTTTAGCATAGAACTTAATTTGGTAGTTTCTTCTGGGTCCTAGGAATAAAGAATGCACTGATATTCATTGATGCTCACTACTAGATTTTAAAGCAGACTATTACTTAAAAGCATTTGGCTAATTGTCAAATGCAAGTAAAATTACTTTGGTTCTTTTTGTAATGGAAATTGAAATGCCATATTAGAGTATTTGATCAAAGAAAAGGAAAAATGTGGTAAGAAAACACTTCTATAGCAATGAGGTAGGGTTTTCAATAAGATTATTAATATTGTGACTCAGGGACATTACTAAAAAATTAAAAATAAGATTATGAATAAAATAAGCATACTAGAATACAATCTAAAATAATCTTTAAATGTCATGATTCATGTTATACAAAGCCCTGCAGTCCAGGATAGTTAAATCTTTTGCTCTTGTCTGTGAGCATTACTTATCACCGGATTTGGAACAACAGGTTTTGTTTTTGGTTTTATGCTTTGTTTTCCACTTCTACCATGGAAAATGTTTAATTCTTTAGATGCTTTCTCACATTTTTCTAATACTAAATTTTTAGAAAATAGTGAATTATGACTTTTACTCCAAAGTGTAGAAGGAATACTTGCCTTAGGAAAAAACAGTTTTGCTTTATCAGGAATGCCTTCTGAGGAGTTTTACATGTCCCCTAATAAATTGCACCTATATCCCTCTGCCTAATTTCTGAACAAACTGAAAAATAAAGACATTGCTATTCAAGGACCAAGATATCACCTTATAGATGATAAAATCAAAAGTGATGGGTGCAGCTTAGCGTAAAATCCACAAGTGCTACCTACTGAATGCCAGAAGTAGAAGGTCTTAGCCAGTAGAAGGCAGTATTGAACCAGTACCCACCAGATATGTGTTGATGAAGGGAACACTCTGGAAGAGTAATGTAATTCCAAGCAAGGAAAAAAAATGAAGCTAAGTTATTCTTCTCAGTTTTACCAATTAGTTAAATCATCCTCCATTACCTGGGGACAGAGTGAGTAAAGAAGCAAGCCAATGCCAGAAATGTGTTTGGAAAAACATGTGGGGAGAGATTAAGTCTGTACCTTACCAATTGTGAGAAATCATTGATATTATAAATTTCAATTTAAAAATATTAATAAACTCTATTTTTGAGAAGTTTTTAGGTTTACAGGAAAATTGAGAGAAAAGTACAGAGTTGCAATACACTCCATGTCACCGTCCACTCTGACCCCCAGCAATTAGCAATTTATCTTGTTATTAACACATTTAGTTTTTGTGATACATTGATTATAATGGATGCGCTAATATTGATACATTATAATTAAACTCCATAGTGACATCAGAGTTCACTCTTGCATATAGTATGTGTTTTGACAAATGTTTAATAACATGTATCTACTCTTATAGTATCATACACAATAGTTTTACTGCCCTAAAACTTCCCTGTGTTCCATCTATTCATCCTTTTCTAACTCCATTGAAAGCCCTTGATAACTGCAGATCCTTTAATATCTCCATAGTTTGGCCGTTCCCACCCAGAATGTCATATGGTTAAAATCAAGTACTACACAGCATTTTCAGTTTCTTTCACTTAACAATATGTACTTGAGGTTCCTTTTTGTATTTTCATTTTTTTTCTTTTTTTGAGACAGAGTTTCGCTCTTGTTGCCCAGGCTGGAGTGCAATGGCGCGGTCTCGGCTCACCGCAACCTCTGCCTCCCAGGTTCAAGCAATTCTCCTGCCTCAGCCTCCCGAGTAGCTGGGACTACAGGCATGCAGCACCACTCCCGGCTAATTTTGTATTTTTAGTAGAGATGGGGTTTCTCCATGTTGAGGCTGGTCTCAAACTCCTGACCTCAGGTCATCCGCCCGCCTCGGCCTCCCAAAGTGCTGGGATTACAGGCGTGAGCCACCGCGCCCAGCCCTTTTTTGTATTTTCATGGCTTGATAGCCCATTTCTTTTTATCATTAAATAATATTTTACTATATGGATATACAACACTGTGTTTATCCATTCACTTAGTGAAGGACATATTGGTTACTTCCAGGTTTGGGAAATTATGAAAAAGATTATTATAAACATTTTTGCACAGGTGTTTGTGGGGATGTCAGTTTTTAACATATTTGGGTAAATAGTTTTGAAAGAAACTATGACATTGTCTTCCAAAGTGCCTGTATTACTTTGCATTAGTACCAGCAATGCAAAGGACTTCCTATTACTCCACCTCTTTGCCAGCATTTGGTGTGATTGGAGGTTTTTTTTTTTTTTTTTTTGCCATTCTAATAGATATGTATTAGTATCTTGTTGTTTTAATTTTCAGTTCACTAATAGCATATGTTGCTGAACACCTTTTCATAGGCTTATTTGCCATTTATGTGTCTTCTTTGGTCAGGTGCCTGCCACATGTTTTGCTAATGTGTTAATTAGGTCGTTTGTGTTCTTATCTTTAAGTTCAAATAGTTTATTATGTGCATTTGAATACCAGTCCTTTATCAGGTATGTCCTTTGAAAAGATTTTCTCCCACTCTGTGGCTTATCTTTTCATTCTCTTGTATTTTTCAGAGCAGAAGTTTTTAATTTAAATAAAGCTCAACTATATATATTTTTTATTTTATGGATTTTGCTTTTGGTGTTGTAGCTAAGAAGTCATTGCCAAATCCAAGATCACCTAGATTTTCTCCTATGTTATCTTCTAAAAGTGTAATAGTTTTGTTCTATATTTAGGTTTATGGTCCACTAAAGTTAATTTTTATGAAAGATGTAAGATCTGTGTCTAGATTTGTTTTTGTTTTTGTTTGCATGTGAATGTTTGTTCCAACACTACTTTTTAAAAGTCTATACTTTCTCTACTGAAGCACATTCACATATTTTTGTCACGGATCAGTTGACTATATTTGTATGAATCTATTTCAGAGCTCTCTATTCTACCTGTATGTCTATCATTTTACCAATACTACACTGTCTTGATTATTCTGACTTAGCTATTAGTCCTGAAGTCAGCTAATGTAAGTTCTCCTATTTTTTCTTCTCCTTCAGTGTACCGTTGTCTCCTCTGGGTCTTTTGCTTTTCCACATACAATTTAGAATCAGTTTGTCAATATCCACAAAATAACTGGCTGGGGATTTTATAAATGTCAGGCTTAAGTTTTCCTGTTTTTTTTTTATTATTATTATTTTGTGCTCTTCAACCGCCACATTCCCATTAGCAGAAATGTGACTAAGAGATCAAGAGGAAAATATACAGAAAATTATCATTTTAAGAACATTTGAATGGTGATGTCTAAATTTCTACTTTGCTATACAGGTCTTGATAAATTACAGTAGAGTTGATCAAATATAATACTTCTTAGGAAAGAGGATGTACTTTGGTATTTATATGTGTGTTTAAAAATGTCACAATGAAAATATAAATGCAGTATATATCTTTCTTGGACAAAAATCAATATGCCACTTTGAGAGTCTTGACTGGCAGAAAATATCATATCAAAAATCACATCAAGATAGAATTTATTTTCTATTAGAAATGCTCTTATTCAGTCAGCGCTATCTGATTCTGCTTTATTTTTCCATTACGGTAGATTAATCCTGAACTTCTTCCTTAACTCTAATGAAATCTCATGTTACATTTTATGTAAATATTCAGGCATATATATATTATATATATATAAAACTATCATATTTCATTGTAATACCTGTTTTTGCCATTTTGGCTGTGTTTATCTAAATATAATCATATTTTATTTTTACTAATCTTTTGAGTGTGTGTGTATGTGTGTGTGTGTCCTTCAGTTAAGTTCTTGGCAATCCCTGGATGTATTATTTTGTTTCTGTTTCCTATTTTTCAATAACTATATGTTAATTATAACATTAACAATTACACTTAAAATGGATGATGAACTACATTTCAATCAAACACAACTTGTTGCTTCTGTGCATGGATAGAATTTTGAACTTTAACATTGTTTCTGACAAAAAAAAACATTAACTCTTTGCAGATAATGTAAATCCAGTTGATAAAATAACATGCAGATTTGATTCCTGCTTACACAGAGAAAAGATTTGTTAAGATTGGCAAAAAGAAAACTTGACCATTGTTATCTGGCATTTTAAAACTAATAACCAATCTTGTCTTACTTTTATTCAGTCTAACCTTTATTTCATATTAATTAAAATAAAGCAAAACAAAACATAATTATAAATGCAGAGATATTGCTGAATGAAATTGTCTCTGAAAATAGATCACTGAAATTTGGAGAAGAAACAAAGATCATAGATAGTAAGAAGAAAGAAACAATTGTTAATTTATAGGTGGATGATACCATTAATATTATCTTAAATATAAAAATTATTTGCACGTCTGCATCTGATTCTAGGAAAGTATATATTTTCAATCAATGTTGGTATATATACATATATATAGTATTTTGAAACAACATAATTATTTCCTGAAGTATTTTTGTTGTTCTTTTTCCCTTAAGCCCATGTATGATTCTTGTTTAGAAGGTGAAAGCTCAACATTTTGTAGAATTTAATATTAATGTATTATATCTCTACAAGGATTTATAATTTTCAAAACAATGAATTAGTAAACAATAAAGCAACAACTTCTAACTCATATTTTTCTACATTTGAATGGATGGATAATTGTGAGCACTGTCTTCTCAACCACTTGGAAAAGAGCTCTGCACTGGAGTCTCATCTTCTCACCATGTACTTTAAGAATAGAGAACATGTGGTACATGGCATTTAAGAGATGGTGAAACAATTGGAAATAGTCAAAAATCCATTCATTGTGTAGAGACGAATCAAGTGTCTCATGACATTTCATTTAAGGCTGTCTCTGATTTTGACTCTACTAATTTTGTTCATCAGGTTGACTTCATTCATCTTCTGTAATTTAAGGGTAACATTTCTAATAAGACTTCCGCTGAGTTGATATAATTAAGTAAGAAACAAAATATTAAGTTACTGTTAAAGGTGTGTGTTTTGTTTTGAGACCACAGTCTTGCTCTGTCACCCAGGCTGGAGTTCTGTGGCGTGATCTCGGCTCACTGCGACCATGGCCAGCTAACTTTTATATTTTTAGTAGAGATGGGGTTTCTCCATGTTGGCCCGGCTGGTCTTGAACTCCTGGCTTCAAGGGTCCACCTGACTCAGCCTCCCAAAATGCTGGAATTACAGACGTGAACCACCGTGCCTGACCAAAGGTGTGGTTTTTCTTAAACGTGTTTTTAATGGATCAGAGGAGAAGCCAGGTAAGGACACTATTCTGTACTTGCTCTGACTTTCTTTAATCTCAGCAAACTATTTCCATACTCTAGTTGAATCAGTATAGATCAAGTGAATGGCCAAAAATATCATCAATTCATGTTAATGATACAATTGTGTCCTATGAGGTTTGTTGTTTTTAGTTTTATTTTTGCTTCTTTTTCTGGGCTTCAAGTTTATGCTTTCTATGCACTTTAGTAAAAATCATTGTGTGACCAAGAGAAGCACAAATATTGCTGTCCAAACTGGTCACGCTTCTCCTTCATTTGCCAATATTCACAGACTTATAACTTGGTACCCAAAAACTCTCTCAAGGCTCAGATATCTGAAGTTTCTAGTCTATCAGTGTTCTTAAGAATTAAAAAGTTATCATTTATTAGAATATTAGAAATTTTATTAGAGATAAATTTATGCCATTCTATAATGCATCCTGCCTAAGTTATTTGAGTAGCCAATAACAATAGAAGGAATATAAACAAGTAACCCAGAATGTCCCTTGAATTTAGCATTACATGTACAAAATGTTTAGTATACAATTTTGCCAACATATTTCAGCTCATAGACATATTATAATATGCTATATATATGGATAATGTAAATTAAGAAAACATATATTTATTTTGTTATGGCTAATTCTCAGAAAATAAAAGTAAATAAGTCTCTTGGGAGCCAAACTGAAAGTTGAGGGTTTCAAAAATGGTGTTATTTGCCGAGAAATGAAATATAATTAAACATTTTTTTTTTTTTTTTTTTTTTTTTTTGAGACAGAGTCTCACTCTGTCGCCCAGGCTGGAGTGCAGTGGCGCGATCTCAGCTCACTGCAAGCTCCACCTCCCGGGTTCACGCCATTCTCCTGCCTCAGCCTCCCAAGTAACTGGGACTACAGTTGCCTGCCACCATGCCTGGCTAATTTTTTTTATATTTTTAGTAGAGACTGGGTTTCACCGTGTTAGCCAGGATGGTCTCGATCTACTGATCTCGTGATCCACCCGCCTCAGCCTCCCAAAGTGCTGGGATTACAGGCGTGAGCCACCGCGCCCAGCCTAAACAATCATTTTTAAAGAAATGTAAGGCCTATATTTGATTAGGAGAACCAAGTCTCCTCCTATATCATGAGCCTAACTCTGAATGACCAGACACAGAAGTCTACTGCTGAAAGTTGTATGATCATAGAGAGAGACTCCTACAGAATTAACAGAACTATTCATGATCCTTTGAAAGTTGAGGGTGAAGCAAGCATATTGACAAAACTCTCCAGCACTCTAGGATTCACACTAAGCAAGAGGTAGCAGCAGACTCACTGCTGGAGGAATTTGAAGTTTGTGGTACAATGAAAGTAACCATAGCAACAACAAAATCCAAACTGAGCTCAATTCCAGATGTGGCTGAACCAACTTCCTTCTCTTTCCCTAACCACCTCACAGTCTGTATGAAATAAACACTAAAGCCTTGACAGATGAATACACATCATTTTCCATTTGGTTGTTTTAAAGGTGTACTTGTCACTGCAGGAAGATATAACACTCATTTAACAGTATAACATTTAATGTTCAGATTTATGTTAAGCAGGCTCCCAATTTTACTTTTGCTCTGTGTGTATTCTTGCACATATTATGCCCAACTCTAGATCTCAGAAAACTATGTGGCACCAATAGCTAGCATGAAATTGAAATGCTATAGATGGACATCTATGTTGTCTCTATCTCTGTTACCACAGATTACTTCTCTGTTTTTTTTTTTTTCTAACTGAACAAGATAATTCATAGCTCTTTGTGCTCCTGGCAGAAGTTTATTTCTTTTTAAATATTTCCCCCAGGCATAGAGTTACTCAATCATAAGAATCCTCAATTGTACTAAATACTTTGATAATGACTTCCAAAATGGCCACAGCAGTTTTAATTCCCAATGACTATATATTAAGGGTTGCTGTTCCCCCAACCTCCACCATTTGAAATTAGTTGACTTTCCATTTTCCTCCTAGTAATACTAACGCAGCACATGTGTTGCTTTACATTTCACCATTTCAATTACTGGTGATGTTTACCATCTTTTCACATAATTGTTGGTCATTTGTGTGACCCCCTCCATTCACTCAGTATTATCTAAGCGACTATTTTCTGCCAAGCTTTGCACTAGGCAACTAGTGATCAAACAGTGAACGATTTATTCATATTGCTTGCCTGTTTTTTGTGTTACTGTGTTTTCTTTTGCACCTTCTGTCTTTTTATGGTGGATTTGGGAGAATTATTTGCATGTATTACATATTAATCTTTTATTGGTCATCAACACTGCAAAGTTTATCTCAGTCTCTATCTATTACCTGTTTATTTGATTTTCTTCTTTGAATAGAAATGGAATCCTCATTTTTAAATAGCACGCAAGATAATTCCAATGCAGATGGTTCTTTACAATAGCTGGAGAACTCTTGGATCTAGATTTGTTCTCATTTATCCATGTTTTAGAAAGCATATATGTGAAAGTAATATATTTAGATGGCAGTGACAAAAGTTTGCTTTCTACTTGAAGAGAGCAGCATCTTTCTGGAACAGCTAATGCAGAGGATTCTGAACCAGGAAATACTGTTCTATTCAATTAAATTTCCTTATATTAATATGTTGAAACAAGAGCATGTCATAACCAGTGTAATGAATGTTGTGTCTTTTTTAAAACCTCTAATGTAATTATATTGCCTTTAGTGTCTGAAAATGTGTTACTATTCTAAATCAAATGATTCCACCATCATTTTCATTTTCATTAGTTTTAATTCTTTTTATAATCAGTGGATCTTCTGAAAGCCGTCATAACCTAATATCAGAAACCAGATAGAGTATGGCTCTCTCAAAGTGTTATCAATCAGGGCACCTAATATCTTCAAATTATTTTGGGTTTTATTTAAGCACTATTACTCTTTTTGGCTAAAGTTTTATGTGACTATGAAAGCATAAATACCTTTTTTGATACTTATTTCAGTTTTGAAGACCAACTTATGTTTTCCTATGAGAAATATTTTGCATCTATTATATTATGCTTTCTAGGCCTAATTTATTTGAAGAAAATATAATAATTAGGTGGAAAAGAAATATTGTCAAGTGTTCTTCAACTTAATTTTTGTTAAAATCATAATTTGACATTAAAGTCTAAAATCTGTCTTGCTTCTCATGAAGGTAAGTCCCCATAATTTCTTTTCTGTGATATATACCTAAGCAATACCTTAAAACGATACTTTAACTGGGTTCAAAAATCAATTTGAACTCAAAAAAGGCAGTTGAATTTTGTCAAATAACTTCTCTTTGTAGCTATTTAATGCTAAGTGATAAGTTTAACAGATGTGTTTACTCCTTTCTATTTATTTTGGTAAGGTTTACACACAAACAATATTTACTTTTACAGTTGTTTGTTTACGCCCTAGCTAAAGCTTCTTCAATGTACAATAAGGGGACACTTTCACTACCAGATATCCCACATTAATCTCTATTACTACCAGTTTGCCTTTAGCCTGAATGTTTCTTAGGACAAACATTAACAGCAGCAGCATTTAGAGATCCCCCTAACAACAGGTATCCCTCTAGACAAAAAGACTTGGCTTATAAGCATATGGAACAAGTTTTGGTATAACCGAGGTCATTGTACTGTAAATCTATTGAGATACATGAACAGGGATAACTACACATAGGAATACTTAATTTTTTTTGTAGTGTATCAGTTAGGTTTTTCTTCTGTGTAACAATGTACTCCAATGCTATATGGCTTAAAATAACAACAATTTTAATTAATTATTGTGCTAGTTGAAAAAGCAAACTATTCTGAGTTGGCTGGTTCCATGTGGGTTCATCCTTGGCATCATGGCCAGCTGTTGGGTTGACTGGGGGCTGGATGGTTTAGGAAACTGAGCTGGAACAGTATATCTTTGCTCTATGTTGTCTCTCATCCTCCAGCAGCCTTATGCACAGGCTTGTTCACAAGGCAACTGGACAAGTTTTCAGGGAACAAATAGAAGCCTAGGAAACTTAAAGCTCAGGCTCAGAAGTGGTACATAGTTACTTATCCTGCATTTGATTGGTCAAAGCAAGTCACAATGCAGGTTCAGAGTCAAAAGAAGGGAAAATAGATTATACCTCTTGTTGGGAGAAACTGTACAATAAAAAAGAAAAAGAGCAACATAACTAAGAATATAGCTTACCAAGGGGGTGAAATATATCTACAATAAGAATTGCAAAACACTGCTGAAGGAAATCTGATATGACACAAACAAATGGAAAAATAATATTACATGCTCATGAATAGGAAGCATCAATATTGCTTAAATGGCCATACCACCGAAAGCAATTTACAGATCCAAAGTTATTCCTGTCCAAGTACCAACATCATTCTTCACAGTATTGGAAAAATCTATGATAAACTTCATATGGAACCCCCGCCCCCCAAAAAAAGTGCAAATAGCCAAAGCAGTCCTAAGGAAAAAGAACAGACAGAAGAATCACACTACCAAACTGCAAACTATGCTACAAGGCTACAATAACCGAAACATCATGATACTGATACAACATATAGACACATAGACCATTGGAACAGGTTACAGAACCCAGAAATGAAGCTATTCATCTACCAACCACCTGATCTTCAGCAAATTTGGCAACAATACATGATGGGCAAAAGGCTCCATAGTCAATAAATTGTGCTGGGATAACTGGCTAGTCATATGCAGAAGACTGACTCTAAACCCTTTCCATTCACCATATGCAAAGATTAATTCAAGATGGGTTAAAAAACTTAAATGTAAGACCTAAAACAAAACCCAGGAGAAAATCTAGGAAATACCATTCTGAATATCAATTTTGGCAAAGAAATTCTGATTAAGTCCTCAAAAGCAATTACAACCAAAACAAAATTTGACAAGTAGGACCTAATTAAAGAGGTTTTGCCCAACAAAGGAGACTATCAACAGATTAAACAGACAACCTAAATAATGGGAGAAAATATTCATAAGCTATGCATCTAAGAAAGGTCTAATATCCAGAATCTATAAGAAACTTAAATAATTCAGGAACAAAAAAGAAATATCTTTATTAAAAATGGGCAAAAGACAAACAGACGCTTCTCCAAAGAAGACATATATGTGGTCAACAAATTTATGAAATAATGTTCATCATCACTAATCAGTAGAGAAATGCACACTAAAACCACAATGAGATCCTCACACCAGACAGAATGTCTATTATTATTTTTCTTTTCTTCTTTTTAAGTGTACATAAAAGCATTTTACATTATGAAACCCCGTATCTACTAATATACAAAAAATTAGCCGGGCGTGGTGGTGCACACCTGTAGTCCCAGCTGCTCAGGAGGCTGAGGCAGGGGCATTTTGTTTTATGTTTCTGCGTTACTTCACTTAGGATTATGGTCTACAGGTAGATCCTGTTGCTGCAAAGGACATGACTAACCTTTTTTGATGGCTGCGTAGTATTCCATGGTGCATATGTACCACATTTTTTTAATCAGTCCATCATTACAGGTATCTAGGTTGATTCCATGTCTTTGCTATTGTGAATAGTGCTGTGATTAACATATATGCATGCATGTGTCTCTTTGGTAGAATGATTTATTTTCCTTTGCATATATACCAAGTAGTGGGATTGCTGGGTCAAATGTTAGTTCTGTTTTAAGTTGTTTGAGAAATCCCCTAACTGCTTTTCACAGTGGCTGAACTAGTTTACATTTCTACCGTCAGTTTATAAGTGTTTATTTTCTCTACAACCTCACCAGAATTCATTGTTTTTGTGTTTGCTTGTTTTACTTCTTTTTTTTTTTTTTTTAGATGGAGTTTCGCTCTTGTTGCCCAGGCTGGAGTGCAATGGTGCAATCTCTGCTCACCACAACCTCTGCCTCCCAGGTTCAAGAAATTCTCATGCCTCAGCCTCCCAAGTAGCTGGGATTACAGGCATGTGCCACCATGCCCAGCTATTTTGTATTTTTAGTAGAGATGGGGTTTCTCCATGTTGGTCAGGCTGGTCTCAAACTCCCGACCTCAGGTGATCTGCACGCCTCGGCCTCCCAAGGTGCTGGGATTGCAGGTGTGAGCCACTGTGCCTGGCCTTTACTTTTTAATGATAGACATTCTGGGAACTTATCAGCACAAAGAAGGAAACAACAGACACTGGGGTCTACTTGAGGAGGTAGGGAGGAAGGAGAAAGAGGAGCAGAAAAGACAACTATTGGGTACTGGGTTTAATACCTGGGTGATGAAATAATGTGTACAACAAACCCACATGACATGTGCTTACCTATGTAACAAACATTCATATGTACACCCAAACCTAAAATAACAGGTAAAAATTCAAATACAACTGGCAATAACAATATAGAAAATATCAAGGTGATAACCATACTGTTACGAATGCAGTAAAGGTTTTCTGAAACTTGTGTCTGGGTGTGGATGAGTTTGTGTGCATATCCACGAGAGATAGTTTTCTTTCTATGTACTGTCTTTGTCTGGTTCTGGTATTAGGATAATGCTTGCTTCATAAAATGAATTAGAAAATATTCTGTAATGTTTCAGTTTATGAAATAGATTATGGAGAATTGGTATTAATTCTTCAGAAATTTGATAGAATTCTCTAATGAAACCATCTTGGTCTGGAGGTTCTTTTGTGGGAGTATTTGAAATTACAAATTCAGTATACTTAATATGATGGGGCTATTCAAATTATTTATTTTATATTGGGCGAGTTGTGACAGTTTGTTTTTTTAAGATGGGTCAATATTATTTAGTTTGTCAAATTTATGTATATAGAGACTTTCATAGTATTATTTTACTATACTTTTGCTGACTTCAGGGCATGTAGTGATATGTATCTCCTCTTTGGATATTTAATTTGCATCTTCTCTTAGTTCTAAGTTAAAGGTGTCGAATTGTAAGTAACAAACCAAATCTGAACATAGTATTGATGATGATGATGAGGATGATGATATACTTCATCGATTGCTGCCTTACTGAATTTTAATATATAGGCAATTCATATGCAATATTTTATTTAATTATAAATAGCAAACGAGAGCTTGACTATATTATCTATTTTCATATGCTCATAATCCCACAAATAGTAAGTAGCAGAGCCTATATTTGAGCATAGATCACGCTGACTCCAGTCTACCATTAGTATATATTGCAGAAGTTTTATTTGAATAGCCTGGTGAGAGGTGACAACGTGCTAGCAGCCTTCGCTTGCTCTCGGAAGCTCCTTGGCCTCAGCCTCTGCTCTGGCCACACTCAAGGAGCCCTTCAGCCTGCCACTGCACTGTGGGGGCTCCTCTCTGGGACTGGCGAGGCCAGAGCCGGCTCCCTCTGCTTGCGGGGAGGTGTGGAGGGGGAGGCGCAGGTGGGAGCTGGGGCTGAGTGCAGCACTCGCGGGTTGGCTTGGGTTCCGGGTGGGCATGGCCTGCCAGCACCTGCTGGGTTTGATCAGGGAATGAGCTCCTTCTGGGCTGCCGGAGTGCCCACGGGTGACTGCCAGTGAGAGGTGAAGCCAGCTGGGCTTCTGGGATGGGTGGGGACTTGGAAAACTTTTCCTCTAGCCAAAGGATTGTAAACGCACCAATCAGCACTCTGTGTCTAGCTGAAGGTTTGTAAACACAACAATCAGCATTCTCTCAAATCGGACCAATCAGCTCTCTGTAAAATGGACCAATCAGCAGGATGTGGGTGGGGCCAGATAAAGGAATAAAAGCAGGCCACCTCAGCCAGCAACGGCAACCTTCCATGCTGTGGAAGCTTAGTTCCTTTGCTCTTCCTGCTAAATGTTGCTGCTGTTGACTCTTTGGGTCCGTGCCGCCTTTGAGAGCTGTAACACTCACCACGAAGGTCTGAAGCTTCACTCCTAAAGCCAGCGAGACTAGGAACCCACCAGGAGGGAGGAACAACTCCAGACGGGAGGAACGAACAACTCCGGAGGCGCCACCTTTATGAACTGTAACACTCACCACGAAGGTCTGCAGCTTCACTCCTGAGGCCAGTGAGACCACACATCCACCAGTAGAAAGAAACTACGGACACGTCTGAACATCAGAAGGAACAAACTCCGGACATACCATCTTTAAGAACTGTAACATTCGCCGTGAGGGTCTGCAGCTTCATTCTTGAAGTCCACAAGACCAAGAACCCACCAATTCTGGACACGCTGGGATACTTTGTGACTTTGTTTACAGAGAAAAAAAAATATATTTTTTCATTCCAAATCTGTATTTAAAAATATGTATGGTCAGGCACAGTGGCTGATGCCTGTAATCCGAGCACTTTTGGAGGCTGAGGTGGGATCACTTGAGACTAGGAGCTCATATTGACCAGCCTGGCCATCATGGCAAAACCCCATCTGTACTAAAAATACAAAAGTTAGCCAGGTGTGGTGGTGCACGCCTATATTCCCAGCTATTCGGAAGGCTGAAGCATGAGAATTGCTTGAGCCCAGGAGGCCAAGGTTGCAGTGAGCCGAGATCCTGACACTGCACTCCAGCCTGGGCCACAAAGCAATATATATTATATATTATATATTATGTATTATGTAATATAATATTATATTATATATATTACATTACATATGTGTCTAGCTAAAGGTTTGTAAAAATTTATATATTATAGAAGTATACATTATACATGTGTTTTATTAATATTCATTTATAAGTTAGAGAATTATGAAATCACATGTTTCAAGGTTACTTGATATATGTCAGATTATTAATGATAATCTGATGAGCAATTTATAAAATGGAACAATTATGATGTTTTACATAATAGAGGTAACCTTAATAAACTACTAAAAAGTTACGATATTAGAGGAAAGTAAGTATTACTCACTAGAAGCTATAAGGTTCAATATGAAGATAAGCTTTGGCATATTTGGATTAGAGTCATTCACGACCTAAAGGGTTTTTTTACATTGACAATTTTAACACGCATATACTTTAAGCTAGGAATGACAAAAATATTAGTGAAAAGTTTTGTGTCCATTCACATTAAAACATAGTATTTTAAAATCTTGAGTTTTTCGAAATATAAATAATATTTAGTGTATTTTATTAGTGTTATATATATTTGTAGCTCTGATTACACTCACTATACATGAAATATACTCTTAATCATTTAATATTATTTCTGATTATTTTTCATGATGTTGCAAATTCTTTGTATATGCGGTTGTAAGTGACTGCATAACATCTCATCTAATTGATGACTTGTATGTATGCATTTTGCCTATTTTGGGGTACAGTTTATTTTTTTCCATTTTTGATTATCATAAGCCATTTTGTGATAAAAATGTGTGTGTGTGTGTGTGTGTGTGTGTGTGTGTGTTTATGATGTTTTCAGGCAATTTTCAAATAATAGGCTCTTAGAAGTAAAATTACTAATCCAGGAATTATTTTGTTTCAAATCTCTTTACTTGTTTAGGGAAGGATATGGCTACTTTGAAATGGAAACAAAAGATTTTAAATAAGAAACAATGAATAACATTATCCACAGAAAATCAGAGATTGAACCGTCAACATTAACATGGCATTTATCTTTTATTTTTTATTTACATTATTTTTTTAGACAGGATCTTGTTCTCTTGCCCAAGCTGGAGTGCAGTGTTGTGATCATATTTCACTGCAGCCTGGACCTCCCAGGCTCAATTGATCCTCCCACCTTAGCCTGAGTAGCTGGAACCATGGGCAGGGACCAGTACACCTAGTTAATTTTTGATTATTTGTAGAGACGGAATCTCCCTATGTTGCCCACGCTGGGTCTTGAAATCCTGGCCTCAAGCAGTCCTCCTGCCTCAGACTCCCAAAGTGCTGGGATTACAGGTGTGAGCCACCGTGCCTGGCCAGTATCTTTGTTGAAGTCTTCATAAAATCTTAACAGATTTTAATCTAATCTTAATCAGGTAAATATAAATTTCTTAAAATTTTTTTATTAAATTTTACCACCATCATTAACTCCCTTTATATACTTTATAGCTATGTTGAAATGTCCATAAATGACCTGTTACAGGAAAAGAATATTGGCAACATATTTTTAAAAATCAGATACACACACATGCATTAATTATACTATCATTATATTTTCATTAATTTTCTTAAGAATTGATATTCAAGTGTTAATAGTCTATTTCTCTTGTACCAGATTAATATTTTATGTCTAGTTTATATAACTATACATTTTTAGGTCTCTGAGACACTATGCACTTGACAGTAATCATAAATAATATGAGAATAAAGGAAATAGCCCATAATGTAACCAACTACCAGTGATTTAATTTTTCTAATTAATCTGTGTATTGGGGTTCTCCAGAGGGACAGAACTAATAGGATATATGTATATATGAAAGGGAGTTTATTAAGGAGAATTGGCTCACAGTAACACAAAGCGAATTCCCACGATAGGCTGTCTGCAACCTGAGGAAGAAAGAAGCCAGTAGTGGCTCAGTCAGAGACCAAAAGCCTCAAAAGCAGGGCAGCCGACTGCAGTCAGTCTTCAGTCTGTGGCCGAAGGCCTGAGAGCCCCTGGCAAAACACTGGTGTGAGTCCAAAGGCCGAAGAACGTGGAGTCTGATGTTCAAGAGCAGGAGGAACAGAAGAAAGCATCCGGCACAGGAGACAGACGAAAGCCAGAAGACTCAAGTCAGTTTATCCCACCTTCTTCCTCTAGCTTTGTTCTAGCTGCTCTGGCAGCGGATTGGATGGTGCCCACCCATATTTTGCTTCCTTTCCCAGTCCACCTACTGCAATGTTAATCTCCTCTGGCAACACCTTTACAGACACACGCAGAAACAATACTTTACCAGCTATCTAGGCATTCTTCAATCCAATCAAGTTGACACCTAACATTAACCATCACAATCTGCCTTATTGTTTGTGGTTTATAGCCCTGTTGCATGTACTATCATCCATATGCAGGCTTGTCCATCAATGACAGCTGTTTCTCAATGAACAAATACTAAGGGGTATACTTCAAGAAAAGTGAAGAAATATGTCACTCATTACAGTTTCTATTAAAAGCTATCAGAGTTTCCTATCAGAACAATGTGCTGTGCAGTTTGGTTTTATCAATATACTCGGCAGATACCAGATATCAATTGGACCCGATGTTTGAGAGTGCTACAAATCTTGAAGAAAATTTGAGTCTTGTCTGCATTAGTGCTTTCAAGTAGATAACTAAGGTAGTCATTTCAAAGAAGGTTGTTAGAGAGTACTAGCAAATAACACAAGTTTTAAAATAGTTTATTAGATGGGTAAATTTAGACTAGGGCAAAAATCCACATAAAGTTTCTTTTCCTCATTTAAAATGGGAAAATAATTTCTAATTTATGAGTTTGTGGTGAGAATTATGTAATTTAACATCAAGCACCTAGTAAACAGTAACTGTTGTCAGTATTACTAATTATTGGAGTCTTTAGTCATTAACATCTGAAATTCTGTTTTATATAGTTCTTCTGAAATCTTTTGTTACTCCCTTTTACGTTTTCTACAATACCTTTTTTCATTAGTCATCCTAATTGTTAAAAAGCCAAAATTACATCTCTAAAGTCACATTAAATTTAGTTTATAATATTACAATGCATAAATGCATAAGGGAAGTGTTTTGCCATAGTTTTATTGGCCTTTTTACTTTCACATTATTACATTACCTTCTGAAGTTAATTAAACATTAGAAACCCAATAAACATTCAGTGGAAAAGCTATAGGTTGAGGTGGTTTAAGGACATTCTTTATTTAGAAATGAGTATCTTTGGCCAAGAATATAAAAAAAAATAAAATGTGATACACTCTGGCATATGTCAACTAGATGTACTAACCAAGTGAATATTTTGACATTAAAAGTAGATGTTGAATTCTACACTTACAAAGTTGGAATGTCCTACTGCTCATTGTGCGAGTAGATAACAATGGGCAGAGATAACTTAGCCTCCTTTAACAACTTGCAGCTATTTGACAAAAAGCCAGAGGAAGATGAGAATAGTGGGACAAAGAATATAATAGCTATTTTCTCTGTGTATAAAATTGACCTTTTTTGGGGGATATTATTCTTACAAATGGTGATTAAAATATTTTCTGATAATATAGTCGTCATTATGTTAAAGATCCACTTCTAGGAAACATGTGCTTTGAAATTTTAAACGCAATCTCAAATAATATTACATAAATACATGCCTGATGGACATTGCATAGGCTGGAAAACATCGAAATACAAAACATTAGATTTATGCCTCTTGCAAAGTAAGCTCATTGACTTTTAAGTAAAGGTTTAAATAAACATTTAAAGATAATTGCAAGATGACATGAATAATCTGCAAAGAACACTTTCAATGATAGGTGATTATGTTAATTTGCTTTACTATTAGTAAGATTCAGTTTAAGCATGGCATTATTAGGTATGACTGAATTATTTAACTCAAGAAAAAATTTTTTCTCTTTTGGCAAGAGCTACCTTGCCATTTTATTACATCTCAGTTTCTGACTAACAATATATTATCCTCCAGCTAATATCATTTCATAATCATTTCTTATCGGTGTCTAGCTGATAGGCCTAGGCCATAAGCTAAGGTGGGGACTTACTCTTCATCAGTCTCTCAAATTTATTTGTCTCTGACATTATTTCTGGAGTTAATTATTATCATATAAGAAGCAACAACATAAGAAAGCATTGTTGAATTTTCACATTTCTATCATGTATATATATCTTACATATATAATATATATAGATTACTGTAGTGTACTATATATTTATAATGCTATGTATACATAGATATCTTACTATATATGTAGATATATAGTAAACAACTGTTTCAAATGCATTATATTATACAATATATATTATGTAAATATATACATTTTGATTATATATGTACACACATAAACACATACATATACATATGCACACACATACAATGGAAGTTACAAACTTCTGTCCTGCAATGAAAGCATAAAATATTATTTTCAACTTCCAAACATTTTAAATTGGCACCATAAAACACTATTAAATAAATGTCACTTGTTGTGGCTCATGCATGTAATTCCAGCCCTTTGGGAGACAAAGGTGGAAAGATTCCTTGAAGGTGAATAATTCAAGACCAGCCTGGGCAACATAGTGAGACTCCATCTCTACAAAAATAAAAAATAAGAGGTGTGGTGGCATGCACCTGTAGTCCTAGCTACTCTGTAGGGTAAGAGAGGAGGATTGCTTGAGCCCAGGAGTTCATAGCTGCTGTGGGTTATGATTGTGCCACTGCACTCCAGCATGGGTGACAGTGAGATCCTGTCTCTTAAAAAATGAAAATTTTTAAAATGTCATAAATATTTCAGTTCTATATATTATAGTGGCTTAAGATAGCAAACATGAGGAAACAAAGTAAAAATAAAGAGAAATTATCAGCACAATCTTTTTTTCATCAGGGTTCCAATATGGCCAACATTTTACAGATACAAAATCTCTAATCCAGGCTGCTATAGGTTGCACAATGAACGAAAAAGGGCAAGCAATGGTTGACATCACCAAGAGGAAAGAGATGTTAGTATTATCTGACAGAGATTCTAAAGCAGCAATAATAAAAATGCTTCAATGAGCACTTACCAAAGTGTTTCGAACAAATGACAAAATACAAAGTTCCAGCAAAGAAATAGAATTGTTAAACCTAAAAATAGAAGATATAAGAAGCAACAAATAAAAATTGTATAACAGTCCTATAGCTTGAATGTATCCCCCAAAGTTAATGTTTTGAAAAGTTAATACCCAGTGAAATAGTGTCAAGAGGTGAGACCTATAAGAAGCAATTAGATCATGAGGTCTCTGCCTTCTTAAGTGTATTAATACCATTATCAATGGAGTGGGTTCATTACCATGAGAGTGGGTTTGGTATAAAAGTGAGTTTGGTTCCCTCTTGTTCTCTCTCATCCACATGTGATGTCTCTCCATGTGATACTTCCTGCCATGTTATGCTGCAGCAAGAAGACCCTCACCAGATGCAGCCCCTCTATGTTGGACTTCCCAGCCTCCGGAAGTGTAAGCCAGAAAAACTTATATTGTTTATAAATTACCCAGTCTGTAGCATTCTGTTACACCAGCACAAAATAAACTACAACAAACTGTAAAATATAATAAACAAAAACTAAACAAAACTTTGAGTGTGCTCAACAGCACAATAGAGAGGCAGAGAAAAGAATTAGTGACCATAGCAATTGCCTAATTGCAGAGGTTGCAGTCCTTAGGAGTCACACATTGGCCATGGGTTGGGGTAGGGAGGCCCATGGGAAGGAGAGTTTGACTGCTCAACACCCAGATGAGGCCTACATTTTCCTTTTGCACTGCGCTCTGCAAATTGGACCTACTGTCATGGTTCTAGCTGCCAAATAAAAATTTTGCTAATAGGTTTAATTAGGTTACACGGAAATTGGTGCACTTTGTTTATGGTGCAGTGAAAATAGTACTGATTAGGACTCAGGAGAGATCAGTTTAAGAATCAGCCCTGTAAAAGGAAATTATTGACTTATTTTTTATCTTGATTTTCTATTCTCCATTTTGATTATCTCTGCTCAAAGCCTTATTATTTCCTTCTTCTGACTTGGATTTAGTTTTTTCTCCTTATTTAGTTTCATAAGACTTAAAGTTAGGTAGTTAATTTGAATTCTTGCTTCGTTTTCAATGTACGCACTTACATTTAAAAATTCCCTCTTAGCATTTTTTTGGCTGCATCTATAAGTTTTATTATTTTGTGTTTTTATTTTCATTTTTCTCAAGGCATTTTCTAATTTCTTTAGTGATTTTATCTTTCACTCATTGTTTTTTAAAGAGTGTATTGTTTAATTTGCACATATTTGTGGATTTTTCAGTTTTCTTTTGCTTCATTTCTACTTTTATTCAATTGTGATGAGAAGAGATACTTTGCATGATTTAATGTTTTTAAATTATTGAACGTGGGATATTGAAGTCTCTAAGAGACTTCAATATCCCACGTTCAATAATAGAAAAAATAAGACAGAAGTTTGATAAATGAAAAGAGAATTTGATAAACATTATAGACCAATTGGATGTAACAAACATATGTAACACAGAAGAATATATTTTTTTCTGAGTGCATATAGAATGTTCTCCAAGATAGACAATATGCTTGGCCACAGAAAAAGTCTTAATTAATTTAAAAACATTAAATCATGCAAAGTATCTCTTCTCGTCATCCCGTCAAATTCATCAGTATTCGCTTCACATATTTTCAGACTCAGACATTTGGTACATAAATGCATATAAGTGCAATAAATAGTATATATATATACACACACACACATATATATACATATATACACATATATACATATATATAGATAGATATAGGATTTGGTACTATCAATGGTTTTAGGCATCTATTGTGGGATGAGTCTTGAAACTTATGCCACGTGGATAAGGGAGGACTACTGTATCTTCTTGGTTATTTGAACACTTTATTATTACATAATGTCCATTTTTGTCTCTAGTAACTATTTTTGACTTGAGAATTATTTGTCTAATATTAATGTAGCCACTTCTGCTCAATTTTTTTTACTATTTGCATGAAATATTTTCCCCATTCTTTCACTTTCTTTGCTAAATATGTTTCTTCATTTTTTTCTTTTTTTATTTATGCATAATAGATGTACATATTTTCAGGGTATATGTGATAATTTGATACATTCATATAATGTATGAAAATCAACTATCCTTTCATTTTTACTGTATATCCTTAGATTTAAAATGAGTCTTTATAGTCAGTGTATAGTTAAATCATGTTTCTATTTTAAAATATTCTGCCAATCTATGTCATTTGATTGGGCAGTTTAAACTATTTACATTCAAAGTAGTTATTGAGCAGCCTCCACTGCTTTTTTTTTCTTCACTCTGGGAGGCCCACATGGCTCTGCCTCAACTTTCTATTCCCTGTGACTCACAGGACCTGAGAGATCAGTAGGGAGGACAACATGGCACTCCAGAAGCTGGGAAGTGGACAAAGAAAAGGCAAGGGGATTCCAAAGCTCATATAGCTCAAAAAGTTTAGTTTACTTGGATAGTCTTATTTGAGTTTTCATCTATACAATTTTTTTTGCAAAAGTGCCAAAATGGCCAACTAGATGCAGATAGAAAGAGCTTCCCCCACTAAGAGACTAGACTATCAAAAAGACCAGCATACTCCAAGCAAATTTTCAGGAAGAAGGCATTGAGAGTGGGTAAAGGGAGGACATAGACTGAAGGGGGAGGAAGCTGGGAACCCTGCACAGGGTTGGTGAGCACCCTTATATCCAAACAAACAATTGAACTAGCTCTCCAGCAATACTTTTTAACCAAGCTGATATGTCTAAAATATAAACATATAATTCAGAATCTGGATAACAATGAAGATCATGAAGATTCAGGAAAAAATTGAAACTCAAGCCAAGGAAACTAAGAAATTTAGTAAAATGATACAAGAGCTCAAACAGAAAATAACTATTATATGCAAAAACCAAACTGATTTTCTACAGCTGAAATTTTCACTACAACAATTTCATAATACAATTGGAAGTATTTACAGCAGAATAGACCAAGCTGCAGGAAGAATCTCAGAGTTCAAAGACCAGTTCTTTGAATCTCAGTCAGACAAAAATAAAGAAGAAAAAAATACAAAAGAATTAACAAAACCTACAAGAAATATGGAATTATATAAAGAGACCACCACACCTATGACACATTGGTGTCTCTGAAAAACAAGGAGAGGGAACTAGAAACTTGGAAAATATATTCAAGGGTATTGTCCACAAAAATTTCTCCAACCTCAGTAGAGAAAGCAATGTTCAAAGTAAGGAAATTCAGGGAACCCCTGTGAAACAGTATGCAAGGCAACCATCCCCAATGCAGTATATATATATATATACACACATATATATATATCACATATATACATATATAAGTATATATATGGCATATATATATCACATATATATACATATATAAGTATATATATGCCATATATATCACATATATACATATATAAGTATATATATGCCATATATATCACATATATACATATATAAGTATATATGGCATATATATGGCATATTATATATGGCATATTATATATGGCATATTATATATGGCATATATATATGGCATATTATATATGGCATATATATGGCATATTATATATGGCATATATATATGGCATATTATATATGGCATATATATATGGCATATTATATATGGCATATATATGGCATATTATATATGGCATATAATATATGGCATATTATATATGGCATATAATATATGGCATATAATATATGGCATATTATATATGGCATATATATGGCATATTATATATGGCATATCATATATGGCATATAATATATGGCATATCATATATGGCATATAATACATGGCATATCATATATGGCATATCATACATGGCATATCATATATGGCATATCATATATGGCATATCATATATGGCATATATACATGGCATATGTATATATATGGCATATATATATACATATATATATGGCAGCTAGAAATAAGGGGCAAGTTGCTTACAAAAAGAACCCAATCTGGCTAAGAGTAGACCTTTCAGCAAAAACCCTACAAACTACCAATGAGGTTTTCCACATAGTTAGAAAAATCACTTCTAAAATTCACATGGAACAAAAACAGAGCCCAAACAGCAAAGAAATCCTAAGCAAAATAACAAAGCCAGAGGCATCACAATAGCTGATGTCAAACTATACTACAAGGCTATAATAACCAAAAAGGTATGGTACTGGTACAAAAACAGACACATAGATAAATGGGACAGGTTAGAGAACCCAGAAATAAAGTCGTCCACCTAGAACCATTTGATCTTTGACAAACTCAACAATAGCAAGCAATGCAGAAAGAAATCCCTATTCAATAAATGCTACTAGGATAATTTACTAGCCATAGGCAGAAGATTAAAACTGAACCCCTTTATTTAAACAGATGTAAAAAGCAACTCAACATGGATTAAAGACTTAAATGTAAAACCTAAAACTATAAAACCCTAGAGAAAAACCTAGGAAATACTATTCTGGATATTGGTCTGGCAAAGATTTCATGGTGAAGACTCCAAAAATAATTTCAACAAAAATAAAAATTGACAAACGGGACCAAATTAAACTAAGGAGCTTTGACATAGTGAAAGAAACTACCAACACAGTAAACAGACAACCTACAGAGTGGGAAAATACACTTGCAGACTATACATCCAACAGAAACCTAATATCCAGAATCTATAAGTAACTTTACAAAATCAAGAAAAAAAGAAAGAAAGAACTCCACTAAAAATGGGCAAATGACATGAACAGACACTTCTCAGAAGACAAACACATGGCCAACAAGCATATGAAAAAATGCACAATATCACTAATCATTAGGGAAGCACAAATTAAAACCACAATGCAATACTATCTCACACCAGTCAGAATGGCTATTATAAAAAAGTCAAAAAATAACAGATGTTGGTGAGGTTGCAAAGAAAAGAGAATGCTTATACACTGCTGGTGGGAATGTAAATTAGTTCAGCCATTGCAGAAGGCAGTTTGGTGATTCCTCAAAGTATTTAAAACACAATTACCATTTGACCAAACAATCACATTACTAAGTATATACACAAAGGAATATAAATTTTTCTACCATAATGACATATGCACATGTAGGTTCATCACAGAACTATTCACAATAGCAAAGACATGGAATCCACCCAGATGTCCATCAATGGTGCACTTGATAAAGAAAATGTGGTTCATATATACCATGGAATGCTTCACAGCCATAAAAATAAGTAAAATTATGTCATTTGCAGCAACATGTATGCAGACAGAGGACATTATCTTACGCAAATTAATGCAGGAACAGAAACCAAATACCACATGATCTCACTTATGAGTGGGAGCTAAACGTTGAGTACACAGGGACATAAGGAAGGGAACAATAGACATTGGGGCCTACTTGAGGGTGGAAGGTGAGAGGAGATTGAGAATTAAAACCCTACCTATGTGATGCTATGCTCATCACCTGGCTGGTGAAATGATCTGTACACCAAACCTCTGTGACATGCAACTTACCCTTGTAACAAACCTGCACATGTACCCCCTAAACCTAAAATAGTGTTTGGAAAGAAATAAAAGACTTTTATACAATAACATGCCCATCTGCATTACTTAATTGTATCTGTATTGGAACAAAATTAAATTTGTAAATTACCTTAAGAACAATTGATATTGATAATATTGAGTTTTCCCATCTAATAACATGATTTGATTTTTCATGTGTTTATGTCTACATTCATATAACTTAGGAACTTTCTATGGTTTTTATTATATTCAAAACACATTTTTGTTAGATGTATTATTAGGTAGTTTATTTTGTTATAGTCTATTAAAAAGTAAACAGAAGTATAAAAATAATAAAATAATTATTGATAACTATGGACATTTTTTAAATTCATTCAAGTAATTTGGAAGCCTTTGTTTTTTAGACTTAGTTACTGAGATATTTTCCCCCCAGTTTTTATTTTGGTTTAAGGAGTACATGTGCCAGTTTGTTATACGGGTAAATTGCATGTCATGCTGGTTTGGCATACAGATAATTTTGTAACACAGGTAATCAGCATACTACCCAGTAGAGAGTTTTTCAATTCTCACTATCCTCCTACCTTTCAACCTCAAATAAGCTCCAGTGTCTATTGTTTCTTACTTTGTGTCCATGGGTACCAATGTTTAGCTCCCACCTATAAGTAAGAACATGTAGTCTTTGGTTTTCTGTTCCTGCATTAATTGACTTATGATTATGGCCTCCAGCTTCATTCATGCTGTGGCAAAGAATATGATCTAATTTTTAAAAATCTTTGTAGTATTCCATGATGTACATTACATGCACCACATTTTCTTTATCCCATTCACTGTAGGTGGCCATCTAGGTTAATTCCATGTCTTTGCTATTGTGAATAGTGCAGCGATGAACTTACTCATGTGTGTGTCTTTATGGTAGAATAATATATATTCCTTTGAGTATATACCCATTAATTGAATTGCTAGGTCAAATGTTAGTTTTGTTTTAACTTCTTTGAGAAATCTCCAAAGTGTTTTCCACATTGGCTAAAGAAAAATTAAATTCCCACTAACTGTGTAGAAGCCTTCCCTTTTCTCCACAACCTCTCCAGCATCTGTTATTTATTTATTTTTGACTTTTTAATGATAGCCATTCTGACTGGTGTTATTCTGATAGCCATTCTGATGGTATCTCTTCGTGGCATTGATTTGCATTTCCCTAATGATTTGTGATATTGAACATTTTTCCATATGCTTGATAGCCACGTGTGTATCTTCTTTTGAAAATTGTCTGTTCATGTCTTTGCCCATTTTTACATGGGATTATTTTTGCTTGTTGACTTGAGTTCCTTCTAGATTCTGGATATTAGACTTCTGCTGGATGCACAGTTTCCAAATATTTTCACCCATATTGTAGGTTGTCTGTTTACTCTGATAGTTTCTTTTGTTTTGCAGAAGCTCTTTAGATTGATTAGGTCCGATTTGTCAATTTTTTGTTTTTGTTGAAATTACCTTTGGAGGCTGCATCATGATTTCTGAGCAAGGGCCAATGTCTAAGAATGGCATTTCATAGGTCTTCCTCTATAGTTTTTATAGCTTTAGGTTTTACATTTAAGTCTTCAAGCTATCTTGAGTTGATTTTTGTATAGGGTATAAGGAAGGAGTCCCATTTCAACATTCTGCATATGGCAAGCCAGCTATCCCAGCACCATTCATTGAATGGGGATTCTTTCCCAATTGCTTGTTTTTGTCAGTTTTGTCGAAGATCAGATGTTTTTAGGTGTGTGGCTTTATTTGTGGCCTTTCATCCTTTCCTATTGATCTATGTGCCCATCTCTGTACCAGTACCATGCTATTTTAGTTATTTTACCCTGGCACTATAGTGTGAAGTTGGATGTTATGATGCTTCCAGCTTTTTTCTTTTTGCTTAGGATTGCTTTGGATGTTTGTTATATTTTTGTTCCACGTGAATTTTAAAAAAGATTTTTCTGATTATGTGAAGAATGGCATTAATAATTTGATAGGAGTAGCACTGAATCTGTAAATTGCTCGGGTCATTCTTGTGGCCATTTTAAAAATATTGATTCTTCCTATCCCTGAGCTTGGAGTGTTTTTCCATTTGTTTGTGTCATCTTTGATTTCTTTGAGCAGCATTTTGTAATTCTTGTTGAAAAGATCTTTAACTTCTCAGGTTAGTTGTTTTCCTAGGTATTTTTGTGTATATGTATGTGATTATTGGGAATGGAATTGTATTTTTGATTTGGCTCTCAGCTTGGACAGTATTGATGGATAGAAATACTACTGATGTTTGTACACTGATGTTGATTCTTGAAACATTGCTGAAGTCATTCATCAGATCTAGAAGCCTTTGTACAGAGACTAGAGGATTTTCTGGGTATAGAATTATAATGTCTTTGAAGAGAGTTTGACTCCCTGTCTTTTTATTTGACTGTCTTTTGTTTCTTTGTCTTGCCCGATTGCTCTGGATAGGATTTCCAGTAATATGCTGAATAGGTGTGGTGAGAGTGGGCATCTTTGTTTTGTTCCAGTTTTCAAGGGAAATTCTTCCAGCTTTTGGTTATTAAGTATGATGTCAGCTGTGCAGAAGCTATTTAGTTTAATTAGGTCCCATTTGTCAATTTTTCTTTCTGTTGCAATTGCTTTTGGCATCATTGTCATAAAATCTTTGTCAAGGCTTATGTCTAGAATGGATTTTCCTGGGTTTTCTTCAAAGGTTTTTATAATTTTAGGTTTTACATTTATGTCTTTAATAATCTTGAGTTGATTTTTGTATATGGTGTAAGAAAGTGGTTCACTTTCAATCATCTGCATATGACTAGCCAGCTATCCCAGCTCCATTTATTAAATAGGGAGGCCTTTTCCCACTGCCTTTTTTTGTTGACATTTTCAAAGAACAGATGGTTGTAGGCGTGTGGCTTTATTTCTGGGCTCTCTATTCTGTTCCATTGATCTATGTGTCTGTTTTTGTACCACTTCCACGCTATTTTGGTTACTGTAGCCTTGTAGTATAGTTTGAAGTTCAGTAATGTAATGCTTCCAGCTTTAATGTTTTTTGTTTGTTTGTTTGTTTTGTTTTTCTTAGAATGTCTTTGGCTATTCCGGCTCTGTTTTGGTTCCATATATATATATATATTTTTTTTTTTTATAATTCTGTGAAGAATGTCATTGGTACTCTGATAGAAATGGCATTGAATCTGTAAATTGCTTTGGGCAGTATGCCCATTTTTATGATATTGATTCATCCTATCCATGAGCATGGAATATTTTTCCATCTGTTTTTTGTCATTTCTGATTTCTTTCTTTCCTTCCTGCCTTCCTGCTTTCTTTCTTTCTGTCTTTCTGTCTTTCCTTCTTTC